>NW_016107303.1:210353-293522 GCF_000001405.40 Homo sapiens
CAAAAGTTCCTCATGTGAGTGCAGAATTCAATCGTCCCGTGCAGGGGTAAGTGAGTCTGAGATGTGTTTTGAGCCTGGCCGTTGCGCATGATGTGAAGTGACAAGTCTAGTCTGCAGTTTTCAGAAACCCTCATTCCTCCCTTGACTGATTCACCACTTGAACCTCATATGACGTAGAAGAAGCCTACCTATGTCCCCTTCACATGTTGTGGTCAATGTGTCAACTGCACGATCCGGGCCCCTCACCACATCCTCTGCACCGGTCAGTCGAGCCGAGTCACTGCGTCCTGGCAGCAGAAGCTGCACCATGTCCATGTCACCCACGGTCATCATCCTGGCATGTCTTGGTGAGTCCTGGAAGGGAAGGAGCACCAGGGTTACACTATGGGCCTGCAGATTGGGTGTCTCCCCAGCAGAGAGCCATGTTCTGAAGCAAGTGAGTGGTGAGGATGAGTTAATTTTCAGTCCAGCGTGGCGCCCAGTGGCTCAGGAGGAAAGGGTAGGTTGCTGCCGAGATGAATAGTTCCTCATGATCTTTCTTTGCAGGGTTCTTCTTGGACCAGAGTGTGTGGGCACACGTGGGTGAGTCCTTCCCCAAATGATGGGTTGCCATCTTCACCCCAATACAAGTGAATTTTCCGGAAATGGGAGGGAGGCAGCACAGAGGGTGGGCTGATGGGCTGACCATGGGAAGGCCTGGGGGGAGTCTCTCATGAACTAGTAAGAGGAGATCCTGGGAGTCTCTCATGAACTAGTAAGAGGAGATCCTGGGAGTCTCTCATGAACTAGTAAGAGGAGATCCTGGTATGCTCAGCCTTCTGTTTTGTCTTAGCCCTCCCCAGCCTTTCTTCCCCATGGCTGAGTTGAGCTCTGTGTGGCCCAGGCGGGATACTGAGGTGCTCAAAGCTGGGGTGTGTGGGGGGATGTGGTGTCACCGACAGAGGAGGGAAGGGTAGCAGTGTTAGGAACAGCAGGTCCTCTGAGGACAAGAGGGTAACTCACACCCTCCAGCGTTTCCATGACGGTAGGGGCTGCAGTGTGGCTGCTGTCATTCTGCCAGAAGAGGTGGGGGAACCACAGCCACGACCCTGCCATTCCAAATCCTCTGATGGAGCTCAGTTGTTTATTGTGGTTCAGGCATTAGCTAATATTCCATTCACAAAGGTCATACCCTCCACCCCATGTCTACTTTGTGTTGTTTGGTGTAACTAATCTTGCAGTATTAAAATCTAGTAAGAGTCCCTTACTCAGCACCTGCTCAGTTCTCAACTGACACTTTTGTTGTAGGGAGACGCCACGTCTATGCGGGATGGGTCCTTCCTGTAGCCCCAGGCACCCAGGTGTGGTAGGAGCCTTAGAAAGAAGAAATGGGGAGAATCTTCTGAGCACAGGGAGGGAGGGGCAGCTCAACATACTCCTCTCTGAGGCGGCATCTCCTTCTCCCCAAGGTGGTCAGGACAAGCCCTTCTGCTCTGCCTGGCCCAGCGCTGTGGTGCCTCAAGGAGGACACGTGACTCTTCGGTGTCACTGTCGTCGTGGGTTTAACATCTTCACGCTGTACAAGAAAGATGGGGTCCCTGTCCCTGAGCTCTACAACAGAATATTCTGGAACAGTTTCCTCATTAGCCCTGTGACCCCAGCACACGCAGGGACCTACAGATGTCGAGGTTTTCACCCGCACTCCCCCACTGAGTGGTCGGCACCCAGCAACCCCCTGGTGATCATGGTCACAGGTCAGAGGGCTCCTGTCTGGGCTTCTCCTTGTCCCACCTCCTGAGTCCCAGAGCTTCTGGTGGGGGTGTCCACCAGAGTCCGATCATCCAGGCCCCAACTATATTTGGGGTAAAGGGGGATTGAATACAGGGGAATGGGTGCTGTGTTGGAAAGAATAACTGTCCCCATCGATGGCCACATTGTAATCCTTGGAGCCTGTGACTATGTTATAGGGCAGGGGACTGAAGGGGAAGATGGAGCTCAGGTTGTTGATGAGTTGACCTTGAGATGGGGAGATGGCCTGGACCCTCCCACTGGGCTCAGTGTAATCACAAGGGTCCATATGAGTGGAGAAGGAAGAGGAGAATGGGGATTAGAGCAGCATCGTGGGATACTCCACCAGCCACTGTGGGCTTTGAAGGTGGAGGAAGACCACGAGCCACGAAGGGGCTGGAGAAATCAATGGAACTGATTCTCCCGAGTCTCCAGAGGGAATGCAGCCCTGCAGATGCCTTGATTGTAGCCCAGGAAGAACAGGGTCTGATTTCTGTCTCCAGAAGTGGAAGGGGTCAGTGTGTTCTCTCCTGCCGCCATGTTTGTGATAATTTTCTCCAGCAACATCAGGAAACCAACACAGGAACCCAGGTGAAGGACAAGTTAAAAAACCAAACAAGAAGGTTGGCTACCCTGAGATCAGCAAGGGTGCACTGCTGATGCCACCACCAGGCTGGAACCACATAGGGAGGGATCGACAGGAAGAGTTGGGGGTG
Source organism: Homo sapiens (assembly GCF_000001405.40). NCBI lineage: Eukaryota > Metazoa > Chordata > Mammalia > Primates > Hominidae > Homo > Homo sapiens. The sequence goes on from NW_016107303.1 coordinate 212,837, forward strand.
GAGGGTGAGAGAGAGAGAGAGAGAGAGAGCACTAGGCCATAGAGCAGGGCAGTGAGTTCTCAGCTCAGGTGGGAGGGGAGCTGTGACAAGGAAGAACCTCCCTGAGGAAACTGCCTCTTCTCCTTCCAGGTCTATATGAGAAACCTTCGCTTACAGCCCGGCCGGGCCCCACGGTTCGCGCAGGAGAGAACGTGACCTTGTCCTGCAGCTCCCAGAGCTCCTTTGACATCTACCATCTATCCAGGGAGGGGGAAGCCCATGAACTTAGGCTCCCTGCAGTGCCCAGCATCAATGGAACATTCCAGGCCGACTTCCCTCTGGGTCCTGCCACCCACGGAGAGACCTACAGATGCTTCGGCTCTTTCCATGGATCTCCCTACGAGTGGTCAGACCCGAGTGACCCACTGCCTGTTTCTGTCACAGGTGAGGAAAGCCAATGTCTGTCCCATGTCCTATGGTCCTAGAGCCTTAGCTGAGGAGCTTCCTGCTGATGATGGAGAGAAGCATGGACAGATGTGGAGAGAAGATGCAGCATGGTGTGAGGGTGGGATCAGGGCACAGGATGGCAGACAGGGCACCTCCAAACCCTCCTGCATGGCCTGCATGGAAGCTTGCAGTAAGGGCTCCGGGTACCCAGGCAGATGGAGAAAGTGGTCAGGACAGACCCAGAGGAGGGAGACTGGGCTCAGTTTGGGGAGATCAGAGGTTCCCTCAGCCCCTCAACCTTACCCATTTCCCAGAAGCCCACCCTGGCCTCTCACCTACACAGAGATGTCATCACCAGCAACCCCTACACTTTTTCTTTTCCTTTGAAAAAATGCTGATTGAGGTTAAATATACCTATATAATTTATCAACTTTACCATTTTTAAGTGTAAAATCTAGGGATCATAAATACCTTTATATGCTGTGTGCGGTGGCTCACGCCTGTAATCTCAGCATTTTGAGACGCCAAGGCAGGTGGATCATTTAAAATCAGGGGCTGGAGACCAGCCCGGCCAACATGGGGGAACCAATCTTTACTAAAAAGACAAAAAAAATAAAATTAGCCAGGCATGGTGCCAGGCGCCTATAATCCCAGCAACTTGGGAGGCTGAGGCGGGAGAGTGGCTTAAACCCAGGAGGAGGAGGTTGCAGTGAGCTGAGATCATGCCACTGCACTGCAGCCTGGTGACACAGAGAGACTCTGTCTCTAAATAAATAAATAAATACTTTTATATTCTTCTTTTGTTACCCTCCACCCCTTCCTTCCTAACCTCTGGTATCCACCATTCTACTCTCTACCTTCATGAGGTCCACCTTTTACATCCTGCATGTGAGTAAGAAATGGCAATCCTTGTAATGACCTCCAGTCCATCCATGTGGCTGCAAATGACAGGACGTTTCTCTTTGTATGGATGAGTTGTCTCCATTGTGTGTATGTACTACATTCTCTCTATCCATTCATCCACTGATGGGCAGGTAGGTTGACTCCACATCTTGGCTACTGTGAACAGTGCTGGAACAGTCATGGGAGTGCAGATGTCACTTCAATACACTGAAGTCCTTTTCTTTGCATTTACACCCACTAGTGGAATTGCTAGATCCTCTGGATGTTCTCTTTTTAGGTTTTGTTTTATGCTTTTTGTTTTTTTGACATAGCGTTTCACTCTTGTTGCCCAAGCTGGAGTGCAATGGCACCACCTGGGCTCACTGCAACCTCTACCTCCAGGATTCAAGTGATTCTCCAGCCTCAGCCTCCCGAGTAGTTGGGATTACTGGTGCCCGCCACCACGCCTGGCTGATTTTTGTATTTTTAGTAGAGACGGGGTTTCACCATGTTAGCCAGGCTGGTCTCGAACTCTTGACCTCCAGTGATCTGCCCACTTCAGCCTCCCAAGGTGCTGGGATTACAAGCGTGAGCCACAGTGCCTAATCTCTTTTTAGTTTTTAAGGAACTTCCATATTCTTCTCCTCTGTAATGGCTGTATTAATTTACATTCCTATCAACAGTGTATCAGGGTTCTCCTTTCTCCACCACCTTGCCAACATTTGTTTTGTCTGTCTCTGAGATAAAACCCATTGTAATGGGGTGAGATGATAGCTCATTGTGACTTCATTTGCATTTCTCTGATGATTAGTGATACTGAGCACTTTTTCATATATGCAATGTATATATGTTCATTTGTATGTTTTGTTCATTGAGAAATGTCTGTTCAGGTCTTTTACTAATTTTATAATTAAATTATTAGTTTTATTGAGGTGTTTGAGCTTCTTTTATATTCTAGTTATTAATCCCATCTCAGATGCATAGTTTGCAAATATTTGCTCCCATTCTGTGGGTTGTCTCTTCTTCACTTCATTGGTTGCTTCCTTTGCGGTGCAGAAGCTGCTTGATTTGATATAATCCCAATGGTCTATTTTTTTGTTGTTGTTGTGATTACTTGTGTTTTTGAGGTTTTAAACAAAATGTCTTCCCTCAGACAAATGTCCTGGAGCATTTCTCCAGTGTTTCCTTTTAGACATTTAATGGATTCAGGTCTTAAGTCATTAATCCATTTTCATCTGATTTTTGTGTATGGTGAGAGGTAGAGGTGCAGTTTCATCCCTCTGCATGTAGATATCCAGTTTTCCCTGCACCATTTATTGAAATGACTGTCCTTTCCAGATTGTAGATTCTTCGAACCTTTGTCAAAGTCCATTGGATGTAAATGGGTGGATTACATCCGTGTTCTTCATTCTGCTCCATTGTTTTATGTGCTTTTCTTTATGCCAATGTCATGTTGTTTTGCTTACTACAGCTCTGTAACATATTTTTAAGTCAGGTAGTGTGATGCTCCTGTTTTCTCCTTATACCTTGAAGTCTCAAGATAGTTGGTGTCACCTACAATGATTATGGAGAATGGGATGCCAGGACTCCCAGGGCCCAACATTAGATAATAGAATGTTGGCCATGAACCAACCTCAAAGATTTCCATTGAGTAGAAGACAGGCATCCTCATTGCCACACCTCTCTCCTGTCCCATGTTCTAGGAAACCCTTCTAGTAGTTGGCCTTCACCCACTGAACCAAGCTTCAAAACTGGTAAGTGAAGGACCCCTCTTATCTCTGCTTTTGGAAACCTGGGGAGGTAGAAGCCTTGGATTCAAGCGTTGGCTCAGCACCTGCCAGCTCTGTGATTGTGGGCCTGTCTTCCATTGTCTCTGAACCCCAGACACTCCAACAGCGAAAGGGATCTGGGCCCAGCACAGGGCTCAGTGAAATCTCTTAATCTCTAATTTTCTGCTGCTGAGACCTCAGGGTAGAAGGATGAGTGCAAATCAGACATTCTTCTCAGGAAAAATGCTGTGTTTGTTCTGCCTGCATTCCTAACTGGGAGGACAAATGCCTGGGGGCTTGAGAAGGGGAAGGACGGGGAACATTTTTGAGGGTGGTGTATTTGTAGAGAAGTTCTACTTGCCAAGGAATGAGCTCCTGTCTGTCATGATCCAACCCTGGTTGACTTAGTGGAACAAGAGCTTTGCGGTAAGAGAGAACGTAGTTCATCCGTGCACATGACACTTCCACTTACTCGTTCAGCCACTGCCCCATGCTCAGACTGTGCAGTGTGGAACCTTTTCCTATGTTGCCATAACAAATTTCCACAAGCTTCGTGGATGGAAACCACATTTTAAAAAAATATCTCATGGTGCTGTAGCTCAGAAGTATGAAATGCATCATCTCACTGGGCTAAAATCAAGGTGACAGCAAGGCTGCCTTCCCTCTGAATGTTCCAGGCAAGAATCTGCTTCCTCACTTTTCCCAGCTCCTAGAGGCTCCCACATTCCTTGGCTCCTGGTCCCCGTCTTCCTCCCTCAAAGTCCACAAAGGCTGGTCACGCCTCTCACACGGCATCACTCAGACCCTTCTTCCTTGTCCACACCTCTTTCTCTGAATGCTGCTCTGCCTTCTTCCTCATCTTTTAAGGACTTTGGCATTCTATTGGAAACACCAAGATAATCCATCATAATTTCCCTAAAATCATCTAGGATACCCTCCTTTTAAGGTTAGCTGATTAGCAACCGTAATTCCATCTGCAATCTGCATTCCTTTTTTCCATGTAAAATAACATATTCACAAGATATGGCGACTAGGACAGGAACATTTTGGGGTGGGGCGGCATTCTTATCCTTTCCACAAATGGTAAACAAGGTGCATTTGGCCTCTGCTCTTGGACACTGATATTGCAAAGGATTAAATGGGAGGGCAGAAAATGAATGCACCAGTGGACCAATAAATGAATGATCCATTGGGAAGCATCTGTGCATGAGAATGATTGATTGATTGGTTGTTTTTATGAGACGGTGTCTCCCTCTGTGCCCCAGGCTGGAGTGCAGTGGCGGGATCTCGGCTCACCGCAACCTCCACCTCCCAGGTTAAAGCGATTCTCTACACTCAGCTTCCCGAGAGGCTGGGATTACACCCATGTCCCACCACGCCTGGCTAATTTTTTTTTGGTATTTTTTTTTTAGTACAGACAAGGTTTTACCATGTTGCCCAGGCTATCTCAAACTCCCAACCTTAAGGGATCCGCCCGTCTCAGCCTCCCAAAGTGCTGAGATTCGAGGCGTGAGCCAAGGCGCCGAGCCGTATTTTAAAAGAAATAATAGATAATGCTGAGTGTATAATTTCGGGTGACAGAGAAGTTCTCACTGATCAAATAATACTTGTGACCTTAATGAAAAAAATAGATCAACCCCTGGAAGATTGGCGGAAGGATTTTCCACACAGCTGTCAGCCGTGAAGGCACAAAGGTGAAAACAATGTTATGTGGAAGGAAGAGGCTCTGCCTGAAATGCTGGGAATGAGATGGGGAGAATGACAAGACGACTGTGGAGAGACAGAGAGCACTCTGGGTACACAGGAAACTAAGGAGGAACAAGGAGCGTGTGTTTGACACTCACAGCCATTGGACTTACCTCGGGGCTAACTGGGAATCCCTACATGATGAATAGTGACTGACATGAAAATAAGGGAGGCCCAGGTGCATAACTGGAATCTAGGAGACTGTGGAAAAGGCAATTCCCGCCCCCCTGGTGAAATGTGGTGCTGATTTAGACACTAAATGAATGAAAGATGGACACAAGATGTGTTTGTGAGGTAGAGTAATTTGCAGGGAGGGCTTGCCTGCTTTGATTTTTCCTAATTGTTTAATCTTCACTTCATTGATTTCTTTCTGAGATTTATTTTTCCTACATGTAAATCAATACTTGGCAGAGGAGTGAGAGATACATGAGGGGTGGTGCAAAGGAAGAGACCTATTATAATATAACACACAAGGTTCTGAACGGTGGCTCACACCTGTAACCCAACATTTTGGGAGGCTGAGGAGGCTGGATCAAGTGAGATCAGGAGTTCGAGATCAGCCTGGACAACATGGTGAAACCCCATCTCTACTAAATATACAAAAACTAGCTGGGGGTGGTGGCGCATGCCTGTAATACCAGCTATTCGGGAAGTTGAAGAAGGAGAATGGCTTCAACCAGGGAGGGAGAGGTTACAGTGAGCCAAGATCGCGTCATTGCACTGCACCCTAGGTGACAGAGTGAGACTCCATGGCAAAAAATAAAAATAAAGAATACATAAATATAATATAACATACACGAATGACAAAGGCACACCAATTCCAATCATCATTTTTCTATTTCTCTATAATGACTTCTTTGATCCTTTATCCTATCCATAAGAAAATCAGGCGAAAACATCTTCCTTATTTGGCTTTCTGTGAGCATGAGATCATATGGAAAATGTGAAACCCACCAGCGCAGGTCCTGGAATAGAGAACGTGATCTGTTCATGGCACAAAACTTGCCCCTTCACCCAAATCCCCCACCTCACCCCTACTTCCAATCACATTAATGATACAGATAGATCATGGGGAGGTAAAAACTAATATTCTTTGGAGTTCAGATCGTAGACTCAGAGACCAGTGCCAGCACTATCTCCTGGTCACCTTTTGGAGTAATTCACAGAAAGACAGGCTGTATTGAAGCAACAGATGATGGAGGGGGTGGTCTTTCCCCCAGACTCTCGGGTGGAACAGCAGCCTAATATCTGACTCCCAAGATGACAAAAGTAGCATGTTGCCCACGAGCTTCATCATTATTTCCTGGCTGTTTGATATAAGACAGCTCAACCTCACTTATGTTGATTTCAATGTCACTGTTTTTTCCTTTTCTTGGAGAATGTAATTTGTTTGAGTCAAGAGGGTTGTGGATGTAGAAACTGTAAAGCACATTCACTGTGTATCAATCCCAGTCCAGTCTTCCCAGAGAAGACTCTAAACACCTCCCATACTGCACCTGGGGCTGTGCCAATTTCTATCACTCACCATCACTCCAGGGAGACAGAACACACAGGGAATACATTACATAGGCAGGTTCATTACTTATAGATAAGCAGCGAGTGACAACAGAAACCTTCCTTTCAGGGTGAGCCAGTCCCTCAAGGCTCAGAAAAACTGCTCAGGACACATGGAGTCACTTCATGTGCACTGTAGCTGGGGGAAGCCAGAAAGCAGCCCAGCCTGGGTTTTGTACCCTGGAGCCACAGGGAACACTCAGCTAAAGCACTGCATGATGTTCTCCTCCAGGAAGAACAGGAAGACAGCCCAGGCTGTTCTGAGACGTTCCTCCTGATCTCAGGATGTTGCTGTCTTAGCCTATTTTTGTTGCTATAAAAGAACACTTGAGCCTGGGTATCTTCTAAAGAAAAGAGATGTGTTTGGCTCACTGATCTGCACGCTGTACTAGAAGCAGGACACTACCATCTATTTCTGGCTGCGGCCTCAGGCTGCTCCCACACTGACAGAAGAGAAGGGGGTCCTGCGTGTGCAGAGACCACAGAGATCACATGGCAAGAGAGGGAGAAAGGGGGTGTGATGGAGCTTCCAAGCTCTTTTTAAGAATCAACTCTCCAGGGTACTAATAGAGGGAGAACTTGCTAACCCCGTCCTCTGGGGACAGCATTAATCTATTCATGATGGATCCACCCCCATGACCAAAACACCCCTCCCAATAGGCACAACCTCCCACACTGGGGATTAAATTTCAAAGTGGGGTTTGGAGGGGTCAAACATTGAAACAATAGCAGTTGTATCATCAGCACATTCTATTGTTATTATGAAAACTATAACGGAGAAAGCAGGAGAAAGCTGGGTCTCCCGCCTCGTGGGTGCTTGTCCTAAAGAGGTGTTTTATGTGGTTGCCTGGCAACCAAGAAATGAGAGACAATCCACAAAGAGGAACTGCTATGGTTAGCTTCTTATTGGATTCTCATCTTCCTCCAGGTATCGCCAGACACCTGCATGCTGTGATTAGGTACTCAGTGGCCATCATCCTCTTCACCATCCTTCCCTTCTTTCTCCTTCATCGCTGGTGCTCCAAAAAAAAAAGTAAGCCTCACGAAGCAGAGGCCAGAGAACTCAGGGCCCTGTGCGGAAGCAGGATGGGAGCACGCAGGTGTGTGTTCCTCACTGGCAGGAAAGTCTCTGGCCCAAGGCAGGAGCCAGAGGCAGAGCTTTCTAGAGAGAGCACCAGACAACCTGCCCCTGCCTTCAGCTCACAGACCATTGCCTGATTGTGAACTGTATCCTCACGTCCCCTGCAGCCACTCACATCCAGGAGAAGATTCCATGACAGGCAGAAAGTGGGAGATAGAATCAATGGGATGGGAACTGACAGCTATTCATGGAATGGGGTCTTGCACTCAGAGAGATGGAATGTCTGAGTCTGGCTGTTGGCAGCTGAGGGACCTCAGGCACCTATGGCCTCCCCCTGTGTGTTGGTATCTGTTCATGAAATGAGGACCCAGAAGTGCCCTCCCAGCTGTTTCGATTGCTTCCGTCTCCTACAGATGCTGCTGTAATGAACCAAGAGCCTGCGGGACACAGAACAGTGAACAGGGAGGTAGGTCCTCCTAGCCCAGCCTCATGGATACAGTCTTATTCCCTAATAGTCCTGAAAAATGTGAACACCCTCCCTCACTCAGGATTTCCCTCTCTCCAGGACTCTGATGAACAAGACCCTCAGGAGGTGACATACGCACAGTTGGATCACTGCATTTTCACACAGAGAAAAATCACTGGCCCTTCTCAGAGGAGCAAGAGACCCTCAACAGATACCAGCGTGTGTATAGAACTTCCAAATGCTGAGCCCAGAGCGTTGTCTCCTGCCCATGAGCACCACAGTCAGGCCTTGATGGGATCTTCTAGGGAGACAACAGCCCTGTCTCAAACCCAGCTTGCCAGCTCTAATGTACCAGCAGCTGGAATCTGAAGGCGTGAGTCTCCATCTTAGAGCATCACTCTTCCTCACACCACAAATCTGGTGCCTGTCTCTTGCTTACCAATGTCTAAGGTCCCCACTGCCTGCTGCAGAGAAAACACACTCCTTTGCTTAGCCCACAATTCTCTATTTCACTTGACCCCTGCCCACCTCTCCAACCTAACTGGCTTACTTCCTAGTCTACTTGAGGCTGCAATCACACTGAGGAACTCACAATTCCAAACATACAAGAGGCTCTCTCTTAACACGGCACTTAGACACGTGCTGTTCCACCTTCCCTCGTGCTGTTCCACCTTTCCTCAGACTATTTTTCAGCCTTCTGGCATCAGCAAACCTTATAAAATTTTTTTGATTTCAGTGTAGTTCTCTCCTCTTCAAATAAACATGTCTGCCTTCATTCTTTAGGTGACTCTTTTTTTGGCTGAAAGTTTCCAGTGTTATCATTACCATGTCCAAATAACTCCAACTGTTCTCCACTGGGTTCTCACCCCTGGACTCTGAGCTTCTGGAAGCAGGGTGGAGCCTCATTTGTCTCTGAGACTCCAATTTCCATCCAAAGATGCAGCACATAAGAGGTTCCAAGGATCGTGAATCACATGAACAAGTGATATTCTTACTCTCTGCAGACCTGGAAAGCTGGCAGAGTCATTCCATGATGAAACATTTGTAGAGTCATAGGCCTTGTTAGTCTCATCTCCACGGGGACACATATCAACACATCATCTTTCATACTATAAATATACAGTCGGTCCTCTGTATCTGTGGGATTTACAGGTGTTTATTGAACCAAATATAAATCAAAAATATTCAGAGAAAAAATCCACAAAGTTTCAAAAAGCAAAACTATGTTGAATGGACACAAATGAAGCTGTGTGTAGGCTGTATCAGGAATTATAAATAATCAAGGGATGATTTCATGTACACAGGAGGATGTGCATGGGTTATTTGCAAATGCTGTGCCATTTCATGTAAGAGGCTTGAGCATCTGCAGATTGTGCTATCTGAGTGGAGATCCTGAGACCAATCACCCACGAATAATGAGGGATGACTGTATATAATTTTTATTTCTCAATTTTAAATATAAAACATAAAAAAATTACAATAACAAGATAAAATAAACAAGTGTTTTATAGTGTGAGAATACTTTTAGATATATTTTTCTCCATGTGTAACCCTTGGGCCCATGTTATTTATTGAGAAGACATTCTATTCCACCTTAAACCACATGGCAGCCTTTGTCAACTATAAAGGGACTGTGTGTACACGGATGTATTTTAGACACTGTTTTCTGCTCAGTGGCTCTCTCTCTGTCCACTCTCTTGAGAATGCTGCATTTTATGCAGCCTTATACAACCCCTAAAATTTGGTAGCTGGAGTCCTCTAGTTATTTATTATAGGCTATTTGCTATGCTTTTTTTATTTTTCTTGAGGCAGAGTCTCGCTCTGTTGCCCAGGCTGGAGTGCAGTGGCACGATCTCGGCTCACTGCAACTTCTGCCTCCCAGGTTCAAGGGATTCCGTGCCTCAGCCTCTTGAATAGCTGGCATTACAAGTGCCTGCTACCAGGCATGGCTAATTTTTGTATTTTTAGCAGAGACATGGTTTCACTATATTGGCCAGGCTGGTCTCAAACTCCTGACCTCGGTTGATCACTCACCTCGGCTTCCAAAGTGCTGGGGAAATTGATTTTCTATAGCATTATGTTACTGGATATTTCTGTAAAATTTAAAATGAGGGAGGCAGAGAGACAGAGAGAGAGCAAACCATGAGTTGGAACTCTGGAATCTTGGGACATGAGACAAATTCTAGATAAATCTACAAAAATCCAGAATTTACATGTTGTGATTTTTGCTGATAAAGTACAATTCTAAGATTGTAAATAATTGCATAATCCTTCCCTGGGAGTTTAAATCATTTGAACTGGTTCTGCTGTAATACTAGAAATACAATCATGAAAAATTCTAATGGTTTATTGTCACAATTGCTCTGAAAACCTTAATAATACCTATTAGATATTTTGCATATTACACAGGAAGAAGAGTTTGAATCTCAGATAAAAGCAATAAAAATACATGAAAAGTCTTTCATGTTAGCACAGATTTTAGGCATCTCGTGTTCAGGAGGTTGGATCTGAGACGTGTTTTGAGTTGGTCATAGTGAAGGACGCGAGGTGTCAATTCTAGTGAGAGCAATTTCCAGGAAGCCATGCTCCGCTCTTGAGCGAGCACCCACTGGGCCTCATGCAAGGTAGAAAGAGCCTGCGTACGTCACCCTCCCATGATGTGGTCAACATGTAAACTGCATGGGCAGGGCGCCAAATAACATCCTGTGCGCTGCTGAGCTGAGCTGGGGCGCAGCCGCCTGTCTGCACCGGCAGCACCATGTTGCTCATGGTCGTCAGCATGGCGTGTGTTGGTGAGTCCTGGAAGGGAATCGAGGGAGGGAGTGCGGGGATGGAGATCTGGACCTGGAGGTAAAGATATGGGCCTAGAGGTGGAGTTATGGGCCTGGAGGTGGAGTTATGGGCCTGAAGTGGAGATCTGGGCCTGGAGTGGAGATCTGGGCCTGGAGTGGAGATAGGGGCCTGGGGTGGAGATATGTGCCTGGAGTGGAGATCTGGGCCTGGAGTGGAGATATGGGCCTGGGGTGGAGATATGTGCCTGGGGTGGAGATATGGGCCTGGAGGGGAGATATGGGCCTGGAGGGGAGATGTGGGCCTAGAGGTGGAGTGATGGGCCTAGAAGTGGAGCGATGGGCCTGGAGTGGAGATATGGGCCTGGAGGTGGAGTTATGGGCCTGCAGTAGAGATATGGGCCTGAAGTGGAGATATGGGCCTGGAGTGGAGATATGGGCCTAGAGGTGGAGTTATGGGCCCGGAGGTGGAGTTAAGGGCATGAAGTGGAGATCTGGGCCTGGAGTGGAGATATGATCCTGGAGTGGAGATATGGGCCTGGGGTGGAGATACGGGCCTGGAGCAGACATACAAGCCTGGAAAGGAGATATGGGCCTGGAGAGGAGATAGAAGCCTGGAGTGGAAATATGGGCCTGGAGTGGAGATATGAGCCTGGAGTGGATATATGAGCCTGGAGTTGAGATAGGAGCCTGGAGTGGAGATATGGGCCTGGAGTGGACTTATCAGCCTGGAGAGGAGATATGGGTCTGGAGTGGAGATACGGACCTGGAGTGGAGATCTGGGCCTGTTGTGTAGATCTAGGCCTGGAGGTAGAGATCTGGGCCTGGAGGCTGAGTCTCTGCACAGCCGAGATCCTTGTTCCTGGGGGCAGGTAGGCAGCGAGGGTGAGTTTACCTTCAGCCCAGCAAGGGCCTGGCTGCCAAGACGCACAACCCAGTGGGGGCAGCAGGGTGCCCTGGTTTGCCTGCAGATGGATGGTCCATCATGATCTTTCTTTCTAGGGTTGTTCTTGGTCCAGAGGGCCGGTCCACACATGGGTGAGTCCTTCCCCAAACCTTAGGGTGTCATCTCCCCACATAAGAGGATTTTCCTGAAATGGGAGGGAAGTCCTGTCGGGGAGTCTCTCATACACTAGGAAGAGGGGACCCTCGGATGCTCGGCCCACATTTCTGACCTTGCCCTCCCCGGCCTTTCTTTCCCTTTCCTGAGTCAAGCTCTGTGAAGACTGGGGTGAGACTAGGGTGCTCCAAGATGGGTGTGCAGGGAGGAAGTGGTGTCAGCAGCAGAGAAAGAGAGGGAAGCAGTGCTAGGAACAGCAGGTCCTCTGAGGACAAAGGTGTAACTCACACCCTCCAGCGTTTCCGTGATGGTAGGGGCTGCAGTGTGGCTGCGGTCTTTCTACCAGAAAAGGTGAGGAAACCACAGCCATGGCCCTGACATTCCAAATCCTCTGATGGGGGCTCAGTTCATCAATTGGCTGATATTCCATTCACATAGGACTTGCCCTCCATGCCGTGTCTACTTTGTATTGTTTTATATGAGTAATTTTGCAGTATTAAAATCTAGTAAGAGTTGCTTCTCCAGCACTTGCTCAAAGTTCTCAGCTGACACTTGTTGTAGGGAGACGCCATGTCTATGCAGGATGGGTCCTTCCTGTAGCCCTGGGCACCCAGGTGTGGTAGGAGCCTTAGAAAGTGGAAATGGGGAGAATCTTCTGGGCACTGGGAGTGAGGGGCGGCTCCACATCCTCCTCTCTAAGGCAGTGCCTCCTTCTCCCCCAGGTGGTCAGGACAAGCCCTTCCTGTCTGCCTGGCCCAGCGCTGTGGTGCCTCGCGGAGGACACGTGACTCTTCGGTGTCACTATCGTCATAGGTTTAACAATTTCATGCTATACAAAGAAGACAGAATCCACGTTCCCATCTTCCATGGCAGAATATTCCAGGAGGGCTTCAACATGAGCCCTGTGACCACAGCACATGCAGGGAACTACACATGTCGGGGTTCACACCCACACTCCCCCACTGGGTGGTCGGCACCCAGCAACCCCATGGTGATCATGGTCACAGGTCAGAGGCTTTCCGTCTGGGCTTCTCACTGTCCCACCTCCTGAATCCCAGAGCTTCTGGTGGGGCTGTCCGTCAGGGTCCCATCACCCAGGCCCTGGCTGTATTTGGGGTCAAGGGAGATTGAATACAGGGCAAATGGGTGCTGTGGTGGGAAGAATAACTGTCCCCAATGATGGCTACATTGTAATCCCTGGAGCCTGTGACTATTTATGTTATAGGGCAGGGGACTGAAGGGGAAGGTGGAGCTCAGGTTGTTGATGAGTTGACCTTGAGATGGGGAGACAGCCTGGACTGTCCCACTGGGCTCAGTGTAATCACAAGGGTCCGCGTGAGAGGTGGAGGAAGAGGGGAGTGGGGATTAGAGCAGTGTAGTGGGAGGGAGACGCTATCAGCCACTGCGGGCTTTGAAAGTGGAGGAAGACCACTAGTCACAGAATGCAGGTGGCCTCTAAGGGCTGGAGAAGTCAGGAGAACTGATTCGCTGATTCTCCAGAGGGAACGCAGCCCTGTAGACGCCTTGATTTCAGCACAGGGAGAACTGGATCCAATTTCTGTCTCCAGAAGTGGAAGGGGTCAGTGTGTTCTCTCCTGCTGCCATGTTTGTGGTAATTTTCTGCAGCAGCAACAGGAAACCAACACAGGAACCCAGGTCAAGGACAAGTTAGGAACCCAGGTCAAGGACAAGTTAGGAAACCAAACAAGGACAGCCAGGTGTGGTGGTGGGCGCGAGTAATCCAACGACTGGGGAGGCTGAGGCAAGAGAATCACTTGAACTGGGGAGGCAGAGGTTTCAGTGAGCCAAGACAACACCACTACACTCCAGCCTGGGTGAAAAAGTGACTGTCTCAAAAATAAATTAATTAATCAATTAATTAAAGAAACCAAACAAGGAGAAGGTTGGCTACCCTGAGATCAGCAAGGGCAGGATGCTGATGTTACCACCAGGCTCCATCCACATAGGAAGGGGTTGATGCTCCTGGAACCAGCACCAGGGGCCACCCTATGGAAGCTGGGGCCATGGAGAAGGCACAGACATGGCAGGAGAGGCTCCCAATCCCCATCAGGAACAGGGTGTGTGGTCACTGATGTCTGTCTTACTGATGAGTTGATACCACCTGCCAGAGACTCCAATTTGTTCAAAAGAGATTGATTCAGGCTGCTAAGAGCCTGGACATGCAGCCTGTCCTCTTCCACCCCCATATAAACAGCAGGAAAGAGATTAGTGGGAAACAGATACAACAGCCCAAGAGATGAGGCTGTCTTCACAGTGGCAAGGGAGTCAGGGGCTACTGGAGACAGAGGGACAGAGAAGAGGGAGGAAGACAGATGGAGGCACCTGCACCAGGGGATATGGGCACAGAAAAGACACGGAGATGCAGAGAGGGAGGAGAGAGACAGACACGGGGAGGGGAACCCTCACTCATTCCAGGTGCCATGGATGGGATGATAAAGAGAGATGCCTTCTAAACTCACAACTTCTCTTTCTAGGAAACCACAGAAAACCTTCCCTCCTGGCCCACCCAGGTCCCCTGGTGAAATCAGGAGAGAGAGTCATCCTGCAATGTTGGTCAGATATCATGTTTGAGCACTTCTTTCTGCACAAAGAGTGGATCTCTAAGGACCCCTCACGCCTCGTTGGACAGATCCATGATGGGGTCTCCAAGGCCAATTTCTCCATCGGTTCCATGATGCGTGCCCTTGCAGGGACCTACAGATGCTACGGTTCTGTTACTCACACCCCCTATCAGTTGTCAGCTCCCAGTGATCCCCTGGACATCGTGGTCACAGGTGAGAGTGTCTAGACATTGTTCTCATTGTCACTGGGACACAGAGTGAATGATCCAGGACTTGGAACCCCCAGGTGGTCATGAGGAAGATAAGTGTGGGATTCTTATGGAAAGAGAGTGACTTGGTGAGGTCTGTACCAACAGAGACAGAGAAACAGGAGACATAAGTACAGAACAGGTGTCATAACAGGGGACAGACACAGGGGCCATACAGGGAGGTAGAAAAGAGAGAAAGAGGTAAAGGAGACACTCAGACAGACAGACATGTCCCAGAGAGAGGTGTCCTTCCATGCTGACTTTGCTCAGAGACCTGGCACAGGTTAGAAGTTTCATTTCTGTTTTACCTCCACAAAGTGTTTCTACCAGAAGAACCCAAGGACACCCATATTTCTGACCTGAGTTGGGCCCTGTGGCCTCAGGCCTTGTGCCACCTACAGATGCCGTGTTTATTCTGACACCTCTGCCTTCCATGCAATGGAGAGTAATCATCCCAGGATATCATGGCCCCAGAACACCAACCCCTGTATGCTGTGTGAACTTGGGGTCCCCAGACTGGATTCTGAGGCTCATATTCCAAATAATCCCACATATGATAGGATCGCTGAGAGACACAGAGAAAAATCAGGGACACCAAAAAGCAAAGACATAAACACACACAAAATGAGCCAGAAGAAGGAGATTAAGAGATTCACAGACACATAAAAAGAAAGAAAAGAGGGCAGAGTGGAGAGAATGATGGAAAGGAGGAGAGAAAAGCCCCAAAATCAGAACCCTGAGGGAGGGACACAAAGACAGAGAAAGATAAAGATGTGGGGATGGATTGCAGAGATTCCAAATAGAACTAGAGAGACTGAGAGGCAGAGAAAGACAAGGAGACGGAGAGAGAGAGATGATAGATGGATAGATAGACGTAGATAGATGATAAATAGGTAGATGATAGATAATGGATTGGTTATAGATACATAGATGATGACTGATAGATGATACATAGAGATGATGATGATGACGATGATGATGATAGACACATAGATATATACATAGATGATACATAAATAGAGACAGAGAGGCAGACAGAGAGGTAATAGAGAGAGAGATAGATGATACATATATAGATAATAGATGATTGATGGATAGATAGACAGATAGACAATTGATAGAGAGATAGATAAGTGATACATAAATATAGATGATAGATAATTTGTAGATAGACACAAAATAGATAAATAGATAGATCGATAGATAATAGATAGAAATGTGCAGAAAGTTATGAACAAGACAGAAAGTGAGAGACTCAAAATTAAAGAAAAAGGAAGATCAAGTCAACCAATCCAAGGAGGGTCAGAGAGAATAAAACAATCCAAAAAGGGAAAACATACCTCAGGGTGGGGAAGTGAGGTCATAGACCTAGAGAGACAGAAAAGGTAGAAGGAGGAAACAGATATGAAGAGAGATGGGGTGGAGAGTGAGAGAGAGAGAGAGAGCATTAGGTCATAGAGCAGGGGAGTGAGTTCTCAGCTCAGGTGTGAGGGGAGCTGTGACAAGGAAGAACCTCCCTGAGGAAACTGCCTCTTCTCCTTCCAGGTCTATATGAGAAACCTTCTCTCTCAGCCCAGCCGGGCCCCAAGGTTCAGGCAGGAGAGAGCGTGACCTTGTCCTGTAGCTCCCGGAGCTCCTATGACATGTACCATCTATCCAGGGAGGGGGGAGCCCATGAACGTAGGCTCCCTGCAGTGCGCAAGGTCAACAGAACATTCCAGGCAGATTTCCCTCTGGGCCCTGCCACCCACGGAGGGACCTACAGATGCTTCGGCTCTTTCCGTCACTCTCCCTACGAGTGGTCAGACCCGAGTGACCCACTGCTTGTTTCTGTCACAGGTGAGAAAAGCCCATATCTCTCTCATGTCCTATGATCCTAAATCCTTAGCTAAGGAGCTTCCTGCTGATGATGGAGAAAAGCATGGACAGATGCAGAGAGAAGACACAGCAGGTGTGAGGGCGGAGTCAGGGCGCAGGATGGCAGACAGGGCACCTCCAAACCCTCCTTCATGGCCTGCATGGAGGCCTCCGATCAGGGCTCCAGGCACCCAGGCAGATGGAGAAAGCGGTCAGGACAGACCCAGAGAAGGGGAGACTGGGCTTAGTTTGGGGAGATCAGAGGTTCCCTCAGCCCCTCAATCTTACCCATTTCCCAGAAGCCCATCATGGCCTCTCACCCACACAGAGAGATATCATCACCAGCAACCCCTACACCCTTTTCTTTTCATTTTCAAAAATATTTATTGAGGTTAAATGTAACTATATAATTTACCACCTTTACCATTTTTAAAAGTAAAATCTAGTGGTCATAAATACCTTTATATGCTGGGCGTGGTGGTTCACAGTTGTAATCTCGGCGCTTTGAGAGGCCAAGGAAGGTGGATCATTTAAGATCAGGAACTCGAGATCACCCTGGCCAACATGTGGGAAATTCATCTTTACTAAACAGACAAGAAAAATTAGCCGAGCATGCTGGCATGCACCTGTAGTCCTAGCTACTTGGGAGGCTGAGGCAGGAGAAGCACTTAAAGCCAGGAGGCCGAGGTTGCACTGAGCCGAGATCATGCCACTGCACTGCAGCCTGGGAGACAGAGAGAGACTCTGTTTCTAAATAAATAAATACATCTATATTCTTTTTTTTGTTACCCTCCACCCTTCCCTTCCTGGCCTCTGGTGTCCACCATTGTATTCTCCACCTTCATGAGATCCACCTTTTATCTCCTGCATGTGGGTGAGAAATGGGAATCTTTGTAATGACCTCCAGTTCCATCCATGTGGCTGCAAATGACAGGATGTTATTGTTTCTATGGATGAGTAGTCTCCACTGTGTGTGTGTACCACAGTTCTCTATCCATTCACCCACTGATAGGCAGGTAGGTTGACTCCACATCTTGGCTACTGTGAACAGTGCTGGAACAGTCATATGAGTGCAGATATCACTTCGATACACTGATGTCCTTTCCTTTGGATATAAACCCAGTAGTGAAATTGCTGGATACTATGAAAGTTCTCTTTTTTTTTTTTTTCTTTTTTGAGAAAGAGTTTCCCTCCTTAGTCCAAGCTGGAGTCTAAGTGGTGAGATCTTGGCTCATTGCAACCTGTGCCTCCTAGGTTCAAATGATTGTCCTGACTCAGCCTCCCTAGTAGCTGTGATTACAGGTGCATGCCACCATGCCTGGCTAATTTTTGTATTTTTTTAGCACAGACGGGATATCCCAATTTTGGGCAGGCTGCTCTCAAACTCCTGACCTCAAGTGAGGTGCCTGCCTCGGTTTCCCAAAGTGCTGAAATTACAGGCATAAGCCACTATGCCCAGCCTCCTTTTAGTTTTTTAAAGAATTTCCATACTTTTCTCCATAATAGTTGTACTAATTTACATTCCTACCAACAGGGTACCAGGGTTCTCCTTTCTCTACCATCTTGCCAGCATTTGTTTTGCCTGTCTTGCAGATAAAAGCCATTTTACTTTACTTTATTTTATTTATTTATTTATGTTGAGATGGAGTTTCACTCATAGTCGCCCAGGCTGGAGTGCAAGGGTGTGATCTCAGCTCACTGCAACCTCCGCCTCCCGCGTTCAACTGATTCTCCTGCCTCAGCCTCCAAAGTAGCTGGGATTACAGGCGTGTGCCACCACGCCTAGCTAATTTTTGTATGTTTAGTAGAGAGGGAGTTTCTCCATGATGGTCAGGCTGGTCTCCCGACCTCAGGTGATCCGCCCACCTCCGCTTCCTGAAGTGCCGGAATTACAGGCGTGAGCCACCGGCCTAAAAGGCATTTTAATGGGATGAGATGAAAACTCATCGCGATTGTAATTTACATTTCTCTGATGATGAGTGATGCCGAGTACTTTTTCATATACGTGATCGCCATTTCTATGTTTTGTTTGTGGAGAAATGTCTCCTCATGTCTTTTGCTCGTTTTTTAATTAAATTGTTTTATTGAGTTGTTTGAGCTTCTTATATTTCCAGTTATTAATCCCGTCTCAGATGAATAGTTTGCAAATATTTGCTCCTATTTTGTGGGTTGTCTCTTCACTTTCTTGGTTTATCTTTTGTGGTGCAGAAGTTGCTTGGTTTGATGTAATCCTAATGGTCTATTTTTTGCTTTGATTACTTGTGTTTTGAAGGTTTTAAACAAAATGTCTTTCGTCAGACAAATGTCTTCCCCATTATTTTCTTCTACATGTTTCATAGGTTCAGGCCTTAGACTCATGTTTTTAATCCATTTTCATTTGATTTTTGTTTATGGTGACAGGTATAGATGCAGTTTTATTCCTCTGCATGTAGATATCCAGTTTTCCCCACACCATTTATTGAAAAGACTGTCCTTTCCTGATTGTGAGTTCTTGGCACCTTTGTCAAAGTCCATTAAATGGGCTGGGTATGGTGGCTCACACCTGCAATTCCAGCACTTTGGGAGGCCGAGGCGGGTGGATCACCTGAAGCCAGGAGTTCAAGACCAGGCTGGCCAACAGAGTGAAACCTCGTCTCTACTAAAAATACAAAAATTAGCTGAGCATGGTGACCAGTGCCTGTAATACCACTACTCGGGTGTTTGAGGCAAGAGAATTGCTTGAATCCAGGAAGTGGAGGTTGCATTGAGCTGAGATTGCACCTCTGCACTCCAGCCTGCATGACAGAGCAAGATTCCATCACACACACACAAAAAAAAGCCATTGGGTGTAAATGCATGGATCATATCCGTGTTCTCCATTCTGTTCCATTTTTTATGTGCCTTTCTTTATGCCAATGTCATGCTGTTTTGCTTACTACAGCTCTGTAACATATTTCTAAGTCAGGTAGTGTGATGCTCCTGTTTTCTCTTTATACCTTCAAGTCTCAAGACAGTGGGCATCGCACACAAAAATTATGGAGAAGAGGATCCCAAGACTCCCAGGGTCCAACATTAGATAACAGAGTGTTGGCCATGAACCAACCTCAAAGATTTCCATTGAGTAGAGGACAAGCACCCTCATTTCCTCACATCTCTCCTGTCCCATGTTCTAGGAAACCCTTCAAGTAGTTGGCCTTCACCCACAGAACCAAGCTCCAAATCTGGTGAGTAAAGGACCCCTCTTATCTCTGCTTTTGGAAACCTGGGGAGGTGGAAGCCTTGGATGCAAGCGTTGGCTCAAACCTCCCAGCTCTGTGAATGAGGGCCTGTCTTCCACCATCTCTGAACTCCAGACACTCCAACAGTGAAAGGGATCTAGGGCCACCAAAGGGCTCAGCGAAGTCTCTTAACCTTTAATGTCCTGCAGGTGAGACCTCCTACAAGCTAGAAGAATGATTGCCAATCTGACATCCTTCTCAGGAAAAATGCAGTGTTTTTTCTGCCTGCATTCCTAACTGGAGGATAAATTCCTGGGGACTTGAGAGAGGGAAGGGAAGGGAACATCTCATGAGGGTGGGTGTTTTAGAGAAGTTCCACTTGCCAAGGAATGAATTACTGTTGGTCATGAAGCAACCCTGGCTGACTCAGCAGAGCAAGAGCCTTGCCGTAACAGAGAACAGAGCTCATGCACGCACACTTCGACTCACTGACTCATTCAGCCACGGCCCCATGCTCAGGCTGTGCAGTTGGAATCCTTTCCTATTGTTGCCATAACAAATTTCCACAAGATTCGTGGGTGAAAATAAAGCGGCTTTTTAATTATCTTACAGTGCTGTAGCTCAAAGTATGAAGTGCATCTCACTGGGCTAAAAACAAGGTGACAGCAAGGCTGCCTTCCCTCTGAGGGTTCCAGGCAAGAATCTGCTTCTCACTTGTCCCAGCTTCTAAAGGCTCCCAGTTCCTTGGCTCCTGGTCCCCTTCCTCCTTCCTCAAAGCCCACAAAGACTGGTCACATCTCACATGGCATCACTCAGACCCTTCTTCCTTACCACACCTCTTTCTCTGAATGCTGCTCTCCCTTCTTCCTTATCTTTTGAAAACTTGGGGATTCTATTGGGTTCACCAAGATGAAAATCCATCATAATCTCCCGGAAATCATTCAGGATACCCTTGTTTTAAGTTCAGCTGACTAGCAACCGTAATTCCATCTGCAATCTTCATTCCTCCTTTCCATGTAAAATAACATATTCACAAGCTATGGAGGCCAGGACAGGGACATTTTGGGGTGGGACAGCATTCTCCTGCCTTCCACGAACGGTGAACAAGATGCATTTGGCCTCTGCTCTTGGGACACTGATATTGCAGATGGTTAAATGGGAGGGCAGAAAATGAATGCACAAGTGGACCAATAAATGAATGATCCATTGGGAAGCATCTGTGCATGAAATCTATTTGTTTGTTCGTTCATTTATTTATTGAGACAGAGTCTCCCTCTGTCTTCCAGGCTACAGTGCAGTGTCACGATCTTGGCTCACTGCAACCTGCGTCTCCTGGATCCAAGTGATTCTCCTGCCTCACCCTCTCGAGTAGCTGGGATTACAGGCAACTGCCACCATGCCCGGCTAACTCTTTTTGTATATTTTTTGTAGAGAGGATGTTTCACCATGTTGGCCAAGCTTGTCTGAAACTCCCAACCTCAAGTGATCCGACCATCTCAGCAACCCAAAGTACTGGGATTACAGGCGTGAGCCACTTTGCCCAGCCAGAATTCAAAATCAATAATAGATAATGCTGAGTGTATAATTTTGGGTGACAGAGAAGGTCTCACTAATCAGATATTTGTGACATTAATGAAAAACACGGATTGAACCCCTGAAAGATTGGCGGAAGGATTTTCCACACAGCTGTCAGCTGTGAAGGCACAAAGGTGAAAACAATCTGATGTTGAAGGAAGAGGCTCTGCCTCAAATGCTGGGAATGAAGTGGGGAGAATGACAAGACGACTGTAGAGAGACGGAGAGCACACTGGGTACACAGGAAACTAAGGAGCAACAAGGAGTGTGTGTTTGACACTCACAGCCATTGGATTCACCTCGGGGTAACCAGGAATCCCTACATGATTAATATGACTGACATGAAAATAAAGGAGGCCCAGGTGCGTAACTGGAATCTAGGAGACTGTGGAAAAGGCAATTGCCACCCCACTGGTGAAATGTGGTGCTGATTTAGACCCTAAGTGGATGAAGCAGATGGATATAAGCTATGCTTGGGAGGTAGAATCATTTGCAGGGAGGGCTTGCTGGGTTTGAGTTTCCTAGTTGTTTAATCCTTGCTAAATTAATTTCTTTCTGAGATTTATTCCTCCTACACATAAATCAATACCTGGCAAAGGAGTGACAGATATATGAGGGGTGGTGGAAATGAAGGGACCTATTATAGCATAGTATACAAGTCTGTGAACGGTGGCTCACTCCTGTAACCCAGCACTGCAGGAGGCTAAGGCCAGTGGATTCCAAGAAATCAGGAGTTCGAGACCAGCCTGGCCAACATGGTGAAACCCTATCTCTACATGGTGAAACCCTATCTCTCCTAAAAATACAAAAATTAGCCGAGCATGGTGGTGCATCCCTGTGATCCCAGCTCCTGCTCTGGAGGATGAAGCAGGAGAATGACTTCAACCCAGGAGGTGGAGGTTGCAGTGAGTGGAGATCGCATCACTGCACTCCAGCCTGGGTGACACAAGGAGACTCCGTCTCAAAAAATAAAAATAAGAAATGCATAAATATAATAAAACACACACGAACGACAAAGGCACCTGAATTCCCATCATCATTTTTCTATTTCTCTATAATTACTTCTTTGATTCTTTATCTTATCCATTAGACAATCAGCCTAAAACCTCTTCCGTATTTGGCTTTCTGTGAGCATGAGATCATATAGAAAATGTGAAAGCCCGCTGAATCCTCCAGCACAAATCCTGGAATAGAGAAAGTGCTCTGGTCATCACAAAAAAAACTTGCCCCCTCACCCAAATCCCCCACCTCACCCCTACTTCCAATCACCTGTGCAGATACAGATAGACCATGGGGAGGTAAATGCTAATACTCCTTGGAGTGAGTCCAGATCTTGGAATCAGAGATCAGTGCCAGCACTAGCTCCTGCTCCCCTTTCCTACTAATTCACAGGAGGACAGGTGGTATTGAAGCAATAGATAGTCGAGGGGGTGGTCCTTCCCCCAGCCTGTCAGGTAGAACAGCAGCCTAACATGTGTCTCCCGAGATCACAAAGAATAGCACATTTCACACGGGCTTCAACACTATTTTCTGGCTGTTTGACATAAGAGAATTCTACTTCGCATTTTTGATCTTGATTTCACTTTTGTTTCCTTTTCTTGGAGAATGCAAGTTGTTTAACTCAAGAATGCCGTGGATGTAGAAATCCTAAAGCACATTCGCTGTGTATCAATCCCAGTCCAGTCTTCCCAGAGAAGACTCTAAACACCTCCTGGACTGCACCTGGGCCTATGCCAATTCCTATCACTCACCGTCACTCCAGGGAGACAGAACACACAGAGAACACATTACACAGGCAGGTTCATTACTAACAGATAAGCAGCGAGTGACAACAGAAGCCTACATTTCAATGTGAGCCAGTTCCCCAAGGCTCAGAAAAGCTGCTCGAGACATGTGGAGTCACCCCATTTGCAGTGTAGCTGGGGGAAGCCAGAAAGCAGCCCAACCTGGGTTTTGTACCCTGGAGCCACAGGAAGCACTCAGCTAAAGCACTGCATCACGTCCTCCTCCAGGAAGAACAGGAAGACAGCCCAGGCTGTTCTGGGACTTTCCTCCTGATCTCAGGACGTTGCTGTCTTAGTCCATTTTTGTTGCTCTAAAGGAACACTTGAGCCTGGGTAACTTCTAAACAAAAGATTTTGGTTTGCCTTACAGTTCCGCAGGCTGTACTGGAAGCATGGCACCAGCATCTATTTCTTGTGACTGCCTCAGGCTGCTCCCACTCTGGCAGAAGGGAAGGAGGGTCTGTCTGTGCAGAGACCACAGAGATCACACGGCAAGAGAGGGAGCAAGGGAGAGGGGGAGTGATGGAGCTTCCAAGCTCTTATGAACAACCAGCTCTCCAGGAACTAATAGAGGGAGAACTTGCTAACCCCGTCTCCTTAAAACAGCATTGATCTGTTCATGATGTATCCACCCCCATGACTCAAACACCTCCCAAGAGGCCCACCCTCCCACACTGGGGGGTAAATTTCAATCTGAGGTTTGAAGGGGTCAAACATCTCAACTAAAGTAGTGGTATCCTCAGCACGTTCTATGGTTACTATGAGAGCTATAACTGAGAAAGCAGGAGGAAGCTGGGTCTCCCGCCATCTGGGTGCTTGTCCTAAAGAGACGCTGTATGTGGTTACCTGTGAATCAAGAAATGCAAGACAATTCATAAAGAGGAACTGCTATGATTAGCTTCTTATTGGTGTCTCCTCTTCTTCCAGGTAACCTCAGACACCTGCACATTCTGATTGGGACCTCAGTGGTCAAAATCCCTTTCACCATCCTCCTCTTCTTTCTCCTTCATCGCTGGTGCTCCAACAAAAAAAAGTAAGTCTCACGAAGCAGAGGCCAGAGAGCTCAGGGCCATGTGGGGAAGCAGGATGGGAGCACACGGGTGTGTGTTCCTCACCAGCAGGATGGTCCCTGGCCCAAGACAGGAGCCACAGAGGCAGGACTTTCTAGAGAGAGCACCAGATTCCCTTCCCCTGCCTTCAGCTCACAGACCATTGCCTGATTCTGAACTGTATCCTCACGTCCCCTGCAGCCACTCACATCCAGGAGAAGGTTCCATGACAGGCAGAAAGTGGGAGATAGAATCAATGGAATGGGACCTCAGAGCTATTCATGGGATGGGTCCTTGAACTCAGAGAGATAGAATGTCTGAGTCTGCTGTTGGCAACTGAGGGACCTCAGGCACCTATGGCCTCCCCCTGTTTGTTGGTATCTGCTTATGAAATGAGGACCCAGAAGTGCCCTCCGAGCTCTTTTGTTGACTTCCGTCTTCTACAGATGCTGCTGTAATGGACCAAGAGCCTGCAGGGAACAGAAGTGAACAGCGAGGTAGGTGCTCCTCGGCCCAGCCTCGTGGCTAGTGTTATTCCCAAAGAGTCCTGAAAAATGTGAGCACCCTCCCTCACTCAGCATTTCCCTCTCTCCAGGATTCTGATGAACAAGACCATCAGGAGGTGTCATACGCATAATTGGAACACTGTGTTTTCACACAGAGAAAAATCACTCGCCCTTCTCAGAGGCCCAAGACACCCCCAACAGATACCAGCATGTACATAGAACTTCCAAATGCTGAGCCCAGATCCAAAGTTGTCTTCTGTCCACGAGCACCACAGTCAGGCCTTGAGGGGATCTTCTAGGGAGACAACAGCCCTGTCTCAAAACTGGGTTGCCAGCTCCCATGTACCAGCAGCTGGAATCTGAAGGCATCAGTCTTCATCTTAGGGCATCGCTCTTCCTCACACCACAAATCTGAATGTGCCTCTCACTTGCTTACAAATGTCTAAGGTCCCCACTGCCTGCTGGAGAAAAAACACACTCCTTTGCTTAGCCCACAGTTCTCCATTTCACTTGACCCCTGCCCACCTCTCCAACCTAACTGGCTTACTTCCTAGTCTACTTGAGGCTGCAATCACACTGAGGAACTCACAATTCCACACATACAAGAGGCTCCGTCTTAACGCAGCACTTAGACACGTGCTGTTCCACCTTCCCTCATGCTGTTCCACCTCCCCTCAGACTAGCTTTCAGCCTTCTGTCAGCAGTAAAACTTATATACTTTTTAAAATAACTTCAATGTAGTTTTCCATCCTTCAAATAAACATGTCTGCCCCCATGGTTTCGGTAATGGGACTCTTTTCTTGCCTAAGGCTTCCGGTGTTATCAGTACCATGTCCATATAATCCCATCTGTTCCCCACTGAGTTCTCATCCCTGGACTCTGATCTTCTGGAAGCAGGGTGGAGCCTCATTTGTCTCTGGGACTCCAATTTCCATCCAAAGATGTAGCACATAGGAGGTTCCAAGGATCGCGAATCACATGAACAAGTGATACTCTTACTCTCTGCAGACCTGGAAAGCTGGCAGAGTCATTCCACAATGAAACATTTGTAGAGTCATAGGCCTTGTTAGTCTCATCTCCATGGGGACACATATCAACACATCTTCTTTCATAATATAAATATACGGTCACTCCTCCATATCTGCGGGGTTTACAGGTGTTTATTGAACCAAGTATAAATCAAAAATATTGAGAGAAAGTATCCACAGAGTTTCAAAAAGCATAACTATGTTAAATGGACACAAATGAAGCTGTGTGTAGGCTGTATCAGGAATTATAGGTAATCTAGAGATGATTTCATGTATACAGGAGGATGTGCATAGGTTATTTGCAAATGCTGTGCCATTTCATATAAGAGGCTTGAGCATCTACAGATTTTGGTATCTGAGTGGAGATCTCAAAACCAATCACCCACGAATAGTGAAGGATGACCGTATATGACTTTTATTTCTCAAATTTAAATATAAATCATAAAAAATGTACAACTAGATAAAAACTAAGAAGTGTTTTTATAGTGTCAGTTAGATTTATTTTTTACTAGGTGTAACCCATTGGTTTAATATTATTTATTGAGAAGACATTCTATGCCACCTTAAACCACACAGCAGCCTTTGTCAACTCTAAAGGGATTGTGTGTACATGGATGTATTTTAGACACTGTTTCTGCTAAGGGGCTCTCTGTGTCCACACTCTTGATGACGCTGCACTTTATGTAGCCTTATAGAACCCTTTAAATTTAGTAGCCAGAGCCCTCTAATTTGTTATTATAGGCTATTTGCTTTTTTTTTCTTGAGGCGGAGTCTTGCTCTGTCGCCCAGGCTGGACTGCAGTGACACAATCTCAGCTCACTGCAACCTCCACCTCCCAGGTTCAAGCGATTCTCGTGCCTCAGCCTCTTGAGCAGCTGGCGTTACAGGTGCCTGCCACCAGGCACGGCTAATTTTTGGATTTTTAGCAGAGACACGGTTTCACTATGTTGACCAGGCTGCTCTCAAACTCCTTATCTCAGTTGATCCGCCCACCTCGGCTTCCCAACGTGCTGGGGAAAACTTGATTTTCTATAGCATTATGTTACTGGATATTTCTGTAAAATTTAAAACGAGGGAGGGAGAGAGACAGAGAGAGATCAAACTCCAGAGTTGGGACTCTGGAATCTTGGGTCATGAGACAAATTTTAGATTAAACTACAAAACTCCAGAATTTACAGGTGTGGTTTTTGCTGATAAAGTACAATTCTAAGATTGTAAATAATTGCATAATCCTTCCCTGGGAATTTAAATCATTTTAGCTGGTTCTGCTGTAATACTAGAAATACAAGCATGAAAAATTCTAATGGTTTATTAGTCACAATGACTCCGAAAACATTAATAATACCTATTAGATACTTTGCATATTACACAGGAAGAAGAGTTTGAATCTCAGATAAAAACAATAAAAATACATGAAAAGTCTTTCACGTTAGCACAGATTTTAGGCATCTTGTGTTCGGGAGGTTGGATCTGAGACGTGTTGTGAGTTGGTCATAGTGAAGGACGCGAGGTGCCAATTCTAGTGAGAACAATTTCCAGGAAGCCGTGTTCCGCTCTTGAGCAAGCACCCACTGGGCCTCATGCAAGGTAGAAAGAGCCTGCGTACGTCACCCTCCCGTGATGTGGTCAACATGTAAACTGCATGGGCAGGGCGCCAAATAACATCCTGTGCGCTGCTGAGCTGAGCTGGGGCGCGGCCGCCTGTCTGCACCGGCAGCACCATGTCGCTCATGGTCATCAGCATGGCGTGTGTTGGTGAGTCCTGGAAAGGAATAGAGGGAGGGAGTGCGGGGATGGAGATCTGGGCCCAGAGGTGGAGATATAGGCCTGGAGGTGGAGTTATGGGCCTGGAGTGGAGATCTGGGCCTGGAGTGGATATATGGGCCTGGAGATGGAGTGATGGGCCTAGAAGTGGAGATCTGGGTCTGGAGTGGAGATATGGGCCTGGAGGTGGAGATATGGGCCTGGAGTGGAGATCTGGGCCTGGAGTGGAGATAGGAACCCGGAGGGGAGATAGGAGCCTGGAGTGAAGATATTGGCCTGGGATGGAGATATGGGCCTGGAGTGGAGACATGGGCCTGGAGGTGGAGATATGGGCCTGGAGGTGGAGATATGGGCCTAGAGGTGGATATCTGGGCCTGGAGTGGACATATGGGCCTAGGATGGAGATATGGGCTTGGGGTGGAGATATGGGCCTGGATTGGAGATATGGGTCTAGGGTGGAAATATTGGCCTGGAGTGGAGATATGGGCCTGGAGTGGAGATATGGGCTTGGGGTGGGGATAGGGGCCTGGGGTGCGGATATGGGCCTGGAGGCTGGGTCTCTACACAGCCGACAGCCCTGTTCTTGGGTGCAAGCAGGCACTGAGGGTGAGTTTCCCTTCAGCCCAGCAAGGGCCTGGCTACCAAGACTCACAGCCCAGTGGGGGCAGCAAGGGAGTCCTGGTTTGCCTGCAGATGGATGGTCCATCATGATCTTTCTTTCCAGGGTTCTTCTTGCTGCAGGGGGCCTGGACACATGAGGGTGAGTCCTTCTCCAAACCTTCGGGTGTCATCTCCCCACATAAGAGGATTTTCCTGAAACAGGAGGGAAGCCCGGTGGGGGATTTTCTTATAAACAAGGATGAGGAGACCCTGGGGTGCTCAGCCCACAGTTCCGACCTTGCCCTCCCCAGCCTTCCTTTCCCTTGGCTGAGTCAGGTTCTGTGGGAACCCGGGAGGGTAGACTGGGGTCCTCCAAGCTGGGCTGTGCGGCTGGGATGTGGTGTCACTGGCAGAGGAAGGGAGCAAAGCAGTGCTAGGAACAGCAGGCCTCTGAGGACAAAGGTGTAACTCACACCCTCCAGCGTTTCCATGACGGTAGGGGCTGCAGTGTGGCTGCTGTCATTCTACCTCAGAGGTGGGGGAACCCCAGCCAGGGCCCTGACCTTCCAAATCCTCTGTTGGGGGCTCAGTTGTGTATTGTGGTTCACACATTGGCTGATATTCCATTCACAAAGAACATGCCCTCGACCCCATGTCTATTTGTGTTGTTTTATGTGAGTAATCTTGCAGTATTAAAATCTAGTAGGAGTCCCTTACTCAGCACTTGCTCAAAGTTCTCAGCTGACACTTTTGTTGTAGAGAGACGCCAAGTCTATGCGGGGTGGGTCCTTCCCGTACCCATGGGCACCCAAGTGTGGTAGGAGCCTTAGAAACGAGGAAAGTGGGGAGAATCTTCTGAGCACTGGCAGGGAGGGGCGGCTCCACATCCTCCTTTCTAAGGTGGCGCCTCCTTCTCCCCCAGGTGGTCAGGACAAGCCCTTGCTGTCTGCCTGGCCCAGCGCTGTGGTGCCTCGAGGAGGACATGTGACTCTTCTGTGTCGCTCTCGTCTTGGGTTTACCATCTTCAGTCTGTACAAAGAAGATGGGGTGCCTGTCCCTGAGCTCTACAACAAAATATTCTGGAAGAGCATCCTCATGGGCCCTGTGACCCCTGCACACGCAGGGACCTACAGATGTCGGGGTTCACACCCACGCTCCCCCATTGAGTGGTCAGCACCCAGCAACCCCCTGGTGATCGTGGTCACAGGTCAGAGGACTCATGTCTGGGCTTCTCCTTCTCCCACTTCCTGAATCCCAGAGCATCTGGTGGGGGTGTCCACCAGGGTCCAATCATCCAGGCCCTGACTGTATTTGGTGTCAATGGGGATTGAATACAGGGGAATGGGTGCTGTGGTGGAAAGAGTAACTGTCGGCAGCATGGCTATATTGTAATCCTTGGAGCCTGTGACTATTTATGTTATAGGACATGGGACTGAAGGGGAAGATGGAGTTCAGGTTGTTGATGAGTTGACCTTGAGATGGGGAGACGACCTGGACTCTCCCACTGGGCTCAGTGTAATCACAAGGGTCCACATGAGAGGAGGAGGAAGAGGAGAGTGGGGATTAGAGCAGCGTAGTGGGAGGGAGAGTCCACCAGCCACTGCGGGCTTTGAAAGTGGAGGAAGGCCAGAAGCCACGGAATGCAGGTGGCCTTTAGGGGCTGGAGAAGTCAATGGAACTGATTCTCCCGAGTCTCCAGAGGGAATGCAGCCCTGCAGATGCCTTGATTGTAGCCCAGGAAGAACAGGGTCTGATTTCTGTCAACAGAAGTGTTCTCTCCCGCCGCCGTGTTTGTGATAATTTTCTGCAGCAACAACAGGAAACAACACAGGAATCCAGGTCAAGGACAAGTTAAAAAACCAAACAAGAGGGTTGGCTACCCTAAGGTCAGCAAGGGTGCACTGCTGATGCCACCACCAGGCTGGAGCCGCATAGGGAGGGATCCACAGGGAGAGTCGGGGGTGGAGGGTGAGAGAGAGAGAGAGCATTAGGTCATAGAGCAGGGGAGTGAGTTCTCAGCTCAGGTGTGAGGGGAGCTGTGACAAGGAAGAACCTCCCTGAGGAAACTGCCTCTTCTTCCAGGTCTATTTGGGAAACCTTCACTCTCAGCCCAGCCGGGCCCCACGGTTCGCACAGGAGAGAACGTGACCTTGTCCTGCAGCTCCAGGAGCTCATTTGACATGTACCATCTATCCAGGGAGGGGAGGGCCCATGAACCTAGGCTCCCTGCAGTGCCCAGCGTCAATGGAACATTCCAGGCTGACTTTCCTCTGGGCCCTGCCACCCACGGAGGGACCTACACATGCTTCGGCTCTCTCCATGACTCACCCTATGAGTGGTCAGACCCGAGTGACCCACTGCTTGTTTCTGTCACAGGTGAGGAAAGCCCATGCCTGTCCCATGTCCTGTGATCCTAGAGCCTTAGCTGAGGAGCTTCCTGCTGATGATGGAGAGAAGCATGGACAGATGCAGAGAGAACACGCAGCATGGTGTGAGGGAGGGATCAGGGCACAGGATGGCAGACAGGGCACCTCCAAACCCTCCTGCACGGCCTGCATGGAGGCCCGCGGCCAGGGCTCCAGGCACCCAGGCAGATGGAGAAAGTGGTCAGGACAGACCCAGAGGAGGGAGACTCGGCTCAGTTTGGGGAGATCAGAGGCTCCCTCAGACCCTAAACCTTACCCATTTCCCAGAAGCCCATACTGGCCTCTCACCCACACAGAGATGTCATCACCAGCAACCCCTACACCCTTTTCTTTCCGTTTGAAAAAACATTTATTTAGGTTAAATGTAACTATATAATTTGCCACCTTTACCATTTTTAAAAGTAAAATCTAGTGGTCATAAATTCCTTTATATGCAGGGTGCAGTGGCTCACAGTTATAATCTCGGTGCTTTGAGAGGCCAAGGAAGGTGGATCATTTAAGATCAGAGGCTCGAGATCAGCCTGGCCAACATGAGGGAAATTCATCTTTACTAAACAGACAAGAAAAATTGGCTGGGCATGCTGGCATGCACCTGTATTCCTAGCTACATGGGAGGCTGAGGCAGGAGAAGTACGTAAGCCCAGGAGGCAGAGGTTGCACTGAGCTGAGATCAGGCCACTGCACTGCAGCCTGGGAGACAGAGAGAGATTCTGTCTCTAAATAAATAAATACATCTATATTCTTTTTTATTGTTGTTGTTACACTCCACCCTTTACTTCCTGCCCTCTGGTAGCCACCATTCTACTCTCTACCTTCATGAGATCCACCTTTTAGCTCCTGTATATGGGTGAGAAATGGGAATCTTTGCAATGACCTCCAGTTCCATCCATGTGGCTGCAAATGTCAGGATGTTATTCTTTCTACGGATGAGTACTCTCCACTGTGTGTGTGTACTACATTCTCTCTATCCATTCACCCACTGACGGGCAGGTAAGTTGACTCCACATCTTGGCTACTGTGAACAGTGCTGCACCAATCGTATGAGTGCAGATATCACTTCGATACACTGATGTCCTTCCCTTTGGGTTTACACCCAGTAGTGGAATTGCTAGATCCTATCAACAGGGTACCAGGGTTCTCCTTTCTCTACCACCTTGCCAGCATTTATTTTGTCTGTGTTTCAGATAAAAGCCACTTTAATGGGATGAGATGATAGCTCACTGTGATTTCAATTGGCATGATTAGTGATACTGAGCACTTTTTCATGTACATGTTCGCCATTTGTACGTTTTGTTTGTTGAGAAATGTCTGTTCAGGTCTTTTACTAATTGTTAAATTAAATTCATTGTTTTATACCGTTGCTTGAGTTTTATGTATATTCTAGTTATTAATCCCCTCTCAGATGCATACTTCACAAATATTTTCTCCCAATTTGTCTCTTCTTCACTTTGTTGGTTGCTTCCTTTGCGGTGCAGAAGCTGCTTACTTTGATGTAATCCCGAAGGTCTATTATTTTGTTTTGATTTCTTGTGTTTTTGAGATTTCAAATAAAATGTCTTTCCTCAGACAAATGTCCTGGAGCATTTCCCCACTCTTTCCTTTTAGACGCTTAATGGTTTCAGGCCTTAAGTGTTTCTTCCATTTTCATTTGATTTCTGTGTATGGTGAGAGGTAGAGGTGCAGTTTCATCAACTGCATGTAGATACCAGTTTTCCCTGCTCCATTTATTGAAAAGACCGTCGTTTCCTGATTGCAGGTTCTTGGCACGTACAATCGTCAAAGTCCATTGGATGTGAATGCATGAATTATATCTGTGTTCTTCATTCTGCTCCATTGCTCTAAGGGCCTTTATGCCAATGTCATGCTGTTGTGCTTACTACAGCTTTGTAACATATTTTTAAGTCAGGGAGTGTGAGGCCTCCAGCACCTGTTTTGTCTTTATACCTCGAAATCTCAGGACACTGGGCATCATTTAACAATGATGATGGAGAAGGGGACGCCAGGACTCCTAGGGCCCAACATTAGATAACAGAGTGTTGGCCATGAACCAACCTCAAAGATTTCCTTTGAGTAGAAGACAGGCATCCTCATTTCCTCACCTCTCTCCTGTCCTGTGTTCTAGGAAACTCTTCAAGTAGTTCATCTTCACCCACTGAACCAAGCTCCAAAACTGGTGAGTAAAGATCCCTCTTATCTCTGCTTTTGGAAACCTGGGGAGGTTGGTATCTTGGATTCAAGCATTGGCTCAGCACCTCCCAGCTCTGTGATTGTGGGCCTGTCTTCTAACATCTCTGACCCCCAGACACTACAACAGCGAAGGGTATCTGAGGACAGCAAAGGGCTCAGTGAAGTCTCTTCATTTCAAATTTCTGCAGCTGAGACCTCCTCCAAGCTAGACGGACGAGTACAAATCTGACATCCTTCTCAGGGATAAAGTGGTGTTTTTTCTGCCTGCATTCCAAATTGGAGGATAAATTTGAGGGGACTTGAGAGAGGGAGGGGAAGGGAACATCTGATGAGGGAAAGGTGATTTAGAGAAGTTCCACTTGCCAAGGAATGAGCCCCTGTTGGTCATGATGCGACCTTGGCTGAGTCAGCAGAGCAAGAGCCTTGCAGTAAGAAGGAACGTAGTTCATCCACAAATATGACACTTCCACTTACTCACTTATTCAGCCACTGCCCTGTGCTCTGACTGTACAGTGTGGAACCCTTTCCTGCTGTTGCCATAATAAATCTCCACAATCTTCATGGATGACAACAACACAGCTTTTAAAATTATCTTACAGTGTTATAGCTCAGAAATATGAAATGCATTTCACTGGGCTAAAATCAAGGTGACTGCGAGGCTGCCTTTTCTCTGAAGGTTCCAGGCGAGAATCGGCTTTTCACATTTCCCAGCTCCCAGAGGTTCCCACGCTCCTTGGCATCTGGTCCCCATCCTCCTTCCTCGAAGCCCACAAAAGCTCATCACATCTCTCACGTGGCATCACTCAGATCCCTCTTCCTTACCTCACCTCTTTCTCTAAGTGTTGCTCTGACTTTTTCTTCCTCTTTTAAAGACTTTGGGATTCTATTGAGTTTACCAAGATAATCCATCACAATCTCCCTAAAATCACCCAAGATAACCTCTTTTTAAGTTCAGCTGATTAGCAACCATAATTCCATCTGCAATCTTTATTCCTCCTTTCATGTAAAATAACATATTCACAAGCCATGGAGGCTAGGACAGGGACATTTTGGGGGTGGGCCAGCATTCTCCTGCCTTCCACAAATGGTAAACACGATGCATTTGGCCTCTGCTCTTAGGACACTGACATTGCAGATGGGCAAATGGGAGGGCAGAATATGAATGCACAAGTGGACCAGTAATGATTGATCCATTGGGAAGCATCCGTGCATGAAATCTATTTACCTATTTATTTATCTATTTATCTATTTATGTATTTATTTATTTGCGGCGAAGTCATTCTCTGTCCCCGGGCTGGAGTGCAGTGGCATGACCTCAGCTCACCACAACCTCCGCCTCCCGGGTTCAGGCGATTCTCCTGCCTCAGCCTCCTGACTAGTTGTGATTCCAGTCCCCTCCACCACACCCAGCTAATATTCTTTTATATTTTTTAGTAGAGATGGAGTTTCACCATGTTGCGCAGATTGTCTCCAACTCCCAACCTCAAGTGATCCGACCGTCTCAGCATCCCAAAATGCTGGGACTCAAGGTGTGAGACACTGCGCCCAGCCGAAATTTAAAATAAATAATAAAGAATTCTAAGTGTATAATTTCAGGAGACAGAGAAAGTCTCACTAATCAGATAATATTTGTGACCATAATGAAAAAAAAAAGTAGATTCAACCCCTGGAAGATTGGCGGAAGGATTTTCCACACACAGCTGTCAGCCGTGAAGGCACAAATGTGAAAACAATCTGATGTGGAAGGAAGAGGCTCTGCATTCAAATGCTGGGAATGAAGTGGGGAGAATGACAAGACGACTGTGGAGAGACGGAGAGCACTCTGGGTACACAGGAAACTAAGGAGGAACAAGGAGCGTGTGTTTGACACTCACAGCCATTGGATTCACCTCGGGGTAGCCAGGAATCCCTACATGATTAATATGACTGACATGAAAATAAGGACGCCCAAGTGCGTAACTGGAATCTAGGAGACCGTGGAAAAGGCAATTCCCGCCCCACTGGTGAAATGTGGTGCTGATTTAGACACTAAATGAATGAAGTAGATGGGTATAAGATATGTCTGTGAGGTAGAATCATTTGTAGGGAGGGCTTGCTGGATTTGATAATGCCTACTTATTTAATTTTGAATATATTAATTTCTTTCTGAGATTTATTTTTCCTACATGTAAATCAATATCTGGCAGAGGAGTGATTGATAGATAGATGAGGGGTGGTGCAAATGAAGGGACTTATTATAGCATAATATACAAGTCTGTGAATGGGAGCTTACGCCTGTAACCCAACACTTTGGGAGGCCAAGGCGTTTGGATCACTTGAGGTCAGGAGTTTGAGACCAGCCTGGCCAACATGGAGAAACCCCATGCTCTTTTTAGCAACCAGTCCTAGGGACCTCATGGAGAACTTGCCAACCACGTCTCATGGGGACAGCATTAATGTATTCATGATGGATCCACCCCCATAACTGGAACGTCTCTCAATAGGCCCAGCCTCCCACACTGCGAGATAAGTGTCAACGTGAGGTTTGGCGGGGTCAAACATCCAAACTATAGCAGTGGTATCCCCAGCATGTTCTCTGATTATTTTGAGAACTATAACTGAGAAAGCAGGAGAAAGCTGGGTATCCTGCCATCGGGGAACTTGTCCTAAACAGATGTTGTATGTGCTTAGCTGGCAACCAAGAAATGAGAGACAATCCATAAAGAGGAACTGCTATAATTAGCTTCTTATTGGATTCCCACCTTCCCCCAGGTATCCGCAGACACCTGCACATTCTGATTGGGACCTCAGTGGCTATCATCCTCTTCATCATCCTCTTCTTCTTTCTCCTTCATTGCTGCTGCTCCAACAAAAAGAGTAAGTCTCACGAAGCAGAGGTCAGAGAGCTCAGGACCATGTGGGGAAGCAGGATGGGAGCACACTGGTGTGTGTTCCTGACTGGCAGGATGGTCCCTGGACCAAGGCAGGAGCCACAGAGGCAGGGCTTTCTAGAGAGAGCACCAGACACCCTGCCCCTGCCTTCAGCTCACAGACCATTGCCTGATTCTGAACTGTATCCTCACGTCCCCTGCAGCCACTGACATCCAGGAGAAGGTTCCATGACAGGCAGAAAGGGGAGACAGAATCACTGGGATGGGAACTCAGAGCTATTCATGGGATGGGTCCTTGAGCTCAGAGAGATAGAATGTCTGGGTCTGGCTGATGACAGCTGAGGGACCTCAGGCACCTACGGCCTCCCGCTGTGTGTTGGTGTCTGCTCATGAAATGAGGACCCAAAAGTGCCCTTCCAGCTGTTTTGATGACTTCTATCTCCTACAGATGCTGCTGTAATGGACCAAGAGCCTGCCGGGGACAGAACAGTGAACAGGGAGGTAGGTTCTCCTCAGCCCAGCCTCATGGATTGAGTCTCATTCCCTAATAGTCTTGAAGAATGTGAGCACCCTCCCTCACTCAGCATTTCCCTCTCTCCAGGACTCTGATGATCAAGACCCTCAGGAGGTGACATATGCACAGTTGGATCACTGCGTTTTCACACAGACAAAAATCACTTCCCCTTCTCAGAGGCCCAAGACACCTCCAACAGATACCACCATGTACATGGAACTTCCAAATGCTAAGCCAAGATCATTGTCTCCTGCCCATAAGCACCACAGTCAGGCCTTGAGGGGATCTTCTAGGGAGACAACAGCCCTGTCTCAAAACCGGGTTGCTAGCTCCCATGTACCAGCAGCTGGAATCTGAAGGCATCAGTCTTCATCTTAGGGGATCGCTCTTCCTCACACCACAAATCTGAACATGCCTCTCTCTTGCTTACAAATGTCTAAGGTCCCCACTGCCTGCTGGAGAGAAGACACACTCCTTTGCTTAGCCCACAATTCTCTATTTCACTTGACCCCTGCCCACCTCTCCAACTGAACTGGCTTACTTCCTAGTCTACTTGAGGCTGCAATCACACTGAGGAACTCACAATTCCAGACATACAAGAGGCTCCCTCTTAACATGGCACTGAGACACGTGCTGTTCCACCTTCCCTCATGCTGTTTCACCTTTCCTCAGACTATTTTCCAGCCTTCTGTCAGTCAGCAGTGAAACTTATAAAATTTTTTGTGATTTCAATGTAGCTGTCTCCTTTTCAAATAAACATGTCTGCCCTCATTGCTTTAGGTAATGTGACACTATTCGCTGAAAGAAACCGCTGTTATCATTACCATGTCCACATAACCCCATCTGTTATCCACTGGGTTCTCTCCCCTGGACTCTGAGCTTCTGGAAGCAGGGTGGAGCCTCATTTGTCTCTGGGACTCCAATTTCCATCCAAAGATGCAGCACATAGGAGGTTCCAAGGATCATGAATCACATGAACAAGTGATATTCTTACTCTCTGCAGACCTGGAAAGCTGGCAGAGTCATTCCACGATGAAACATTTGTAGAGTCATAGGCCTTGTTAGTCTCATCTCCATGGGGACACATATCAACACATCATCTTTCATGCTATATATATATATACAGTCGCTCCTCCGTATCTGTGGGGTTTACAGGTGTTTATTGAACCAACTATAAATAAAAAATATTCAGAGAAGAAAATCCACAAACTTTCAAAAAGCAAAACTATGTTGAAGGGACACAAATGAAGCAGTGTGTAGGCCATATCAGGAATTATAAGTAATCTAGAGATGATTTCATGTATACAGGAGGATGTGCATGGGTTATATGCAAGCGCTGTGCCATTTCATGTAAGAGGCTTCAGCATCTGCAGATTTTGGTATCTGAGTGGAGATCCTGAAACCAATCACCCAGGAATAGTGAAGGATGACCGTATAAAACTGTTATTTCTAAATTTTAAATATAAATCATAAAAAAATTATAAACTAGATAAAAACAAGAAGTGTTTTTATAGTGTGAGAATAAGTTTAGATTTATTTTTTCCTACGTGTAACCCTTTGGTTTAATATTATTTATTGAGAAGACATTCTATGCCACCTTAAACCACAGGGCAGCCTTTGTCAACTCTAAAGGGACTGTGTGTACACGGATGTATTTTAGACACTGTTTCTGCTAAGGGGCTCTCTGTGTCCACACTCTTGAGGATGCTGCACTTCATGTAGCCTTATAAAACCCTTTAAATTTAGTAGCCAGAGCCCTCTAATTTGTTATTATAGGCTACTTGCTATTTTTTTTTTCTTAAGGCGGAATCTTGCTCTGTCACCCAGGCTGGACTGTAGTAGTGCAATCTCAGCTCACTGCAAACTCCGCCTCCCAGGTTCAAGCGATTCTCGTGCCTCAGCCTCTTGAGTAGATGGCATTACAGGTGTCTGCCACCAGGCACGGCTAATTTTTGAATGTTTAGCAGAGACACGGTTTCACTATGTTGGCCAGGCTGCTCTCAAACTCCTCATCTCAGTTGATTCGCCCACCTCGGCTTCCAAACATGCTGGGGGAAACTTGATTTTCTATAGCATTATGTTACTGGATATTTCCGTAAAATTTAAAATGAGGGAGGGACAGAGACAGAGAGGGAGCAAACTCCAGAGTTGGGACTCTGGAATCTTGGGTCATGAGACAAATTATAGATAAAACTATAAAAATCCAGAATTTACATGTGTGGTTTTTGCTGATAAAGTACAATTCGAAGATTGTAAATAATTGCATAATCCTTTCCTGGGAATTTAAATCATTTTAACTGGTTTTGCTGTAATACTAGAAATACAAGCATGAAAAATTCTAATGGTTTATTAGTCACAATGACTCCGAAAACATTAATAATACCTATTAGATACTTTGCATATTACACAGGAAGAAGAGTTTGAATCTCAGATAAAAACAATAAAAATACATGAAAAGTCTTTCACGTTAGCACAGATTTTAGGCATCTTGTGTTCGGGAGGTTGGATCTGAGACGTGTTTTGAGTTGGTCATAGTGAAGGACGCTAGGTGTAAATTCTAGTGAGAACAATTTCCAGGAAGCCGTGTTCCGCTCTTGAGCAAGCACCCACTGGGCCTCATGCAAGGTAGAAAGAGCCTGCGTACGTCACCCTCCCGTGATGTGGTCAACATGTAAACTGCATGGGCAGGGCGCCAAATAACATCCTGTGCGCTGCTGAGCTGAGCTAGGGGTGCGGCCGCCTGTCTGCACCGGCAGCACCATGTCGCTCATGGTCATCAGCATGGCGTGTGTTGGTGAGTCCTGGAAGGGAATAGAGGGAGGGAGCGCGGGGATGGAGATCTGGGCCCAGAGGTGGAGATATAGGCCTGGAGGTGGAGTTATGGGCCTGGAGTGGAGATCTGGGCCTGGAGGGGATATATGGGCCTAGAGATGGAGTGATGGGCCTAGAAGTGGAGATCTGGGTCTGGAGTGGAGATATGGGCCTGCAGTGGAGATATGGGCCTGGAGTGGAGAGAGGAACCTGGAGAAGAGATAGGAACCTGGATGGGAGGTAGGAGCCTAGGGTGGAGATATGGGACTGGAGTGGAGATATGGGACTGGAGTAGAGATATGGGCCTGGAGTGGAGTTATGGGCCTGGAGTGAAGTTATGGGCCTGGAGGTGGAGATATGGGCCTGGAGTGGAGATATGGGCCTGGAGGTGCAGATATGGACCTGGAGTGGAGATATGGCCCTGGAGTGGAGATGTGGGTCTGGAGTGGAGATATGGGCCTGGAGGTGGAGATAAGGGCCTGGAGTGGAGATATGGGCCTGGAGTGGAGATATGAGCCTGGAGATGGAGATATGGGCCTGGAGTGGAGATATGGGCCTGGAGGTGGAGATATGGGCCTGGAGTGGAGATATGGGCCTGGAGTGGAGATATGGGCGTGGGGTGGAGATATGGGCCTTGAGTGGAGATATGGGACTGAAGTGGAGATATGGGTGTGGGGTGGAGATATGGGACTGGAGTGCAGATATGGGCATGGGGTGGAGATATGGGACTGGAGTGGAGATATGGGCGTGGGGTGGAGATATGGGACTGGAGTGGAGATATGGGCGTGGGGTGGAGATATGGGCCTGGAGTGGAGATATGGGACTGGAGTGGAGATATGGGCGTGGGGTGGAGATATGTGCCTGGAGTGGAGATATGGACGTGGGGTGGAGATATGGGCCTGGAATGGAGATATGGGCCTGGAGTGGAGATATGGGCGTGGGGTGGAGATATGGGACTGGAGTGGAGATATGGACCTGTTGTGGAGATATGGGCTTGGAGTGGAGATATGATCCTGGAGTGTAGTTATGGGCCTGGAGGTGGAGATCTGGGCCCGGGGTGGAGATATGGGCCTGGAGTGGAGATATGGGCCTGGGGAGGAGATATGGGCCTGGAGTGGAGATATGGGCCTGGACTGGAGTTATGGACCTAGGGTGGAGATCTGAGCCTGGATTGGAGATGTGGGCCCAGATTGGCTATATGGGCCTAGGGTGGGAATATCAGCCTGGAGTGGAGATATGTGCCTGGAGTGGAGATATGGGCTTGGGGTAGGGATATGGGAATGGAGGCTGGGTCTCTGCACAGCCGAGAGCCCTGTTCTTGGGTGCAGGTAGGCACTGAGGGTGAGTTTCCCTTCGGCCCAGGAAGGGCCTGGCTACCAAGACTCACAGCCTAGTGGGGATAGCAAGGAAGGCCTGGTTTGCCTGCAGATGGATGGTCCATCATGATCTTTCTTTCCAGCGTTCTTCTTGCTGCAGGGGGCCTGGCCACATGAGGGTAAGTCCTTCTCCAAACCTTAAGGTGTCATCTCCCCACATAAGAGGATTTTCCTGAAACGGGAGGGAAGTCCTGTCAGGGAGTCTCTCTTAAACTAGAAAGAGGGGACCCTGGGGTGCTTGGCCCACAGTTCCGACCTTGCCTCCCTGGCCTTTCATTTCCTTGGCAGAGTCAAGTTCTGTGGGGACCAGGGTTACACTAGGGTGCTCAAAGCTGGGGTGTGTGGTGGGAAAGTGGTAGGAACAGCAGATCCTCTGAGGACAAAGGTGTTACTCACACACTTCAGCGTTTCCATGACGGTAGGGGCTGCAGTGTGGCTGCTGTCATTCTACCAGAAGAGGTGGGAAACCACAGCCATGGCCCTGACATTCCAAATCCTCTGATGGGGGCTCAGTTGTTTATTTTCATTCAGGCATCTGCTGATATTCCATTCTCAAAGGACATGCCCTCCACCCCATGTCTACCCTGTGTTGTTTTATGTGAGTAATCTTACAGTATTAAAATCTAGTAGGAGTCTCTTACTCAGCACTTGCTCAAAGTTCTCAGCTGACACTTTTGTTGTAGGGAGACAGCTTGTCTTTGTGGGATGAGTCCTTCCTTTAGCCCTAGGCACCAAGGTGTGATAGCAGCCATAGAAATGTGGAAAGTGGGGAGAATCTTCTGAGCACAGGGAGGGAGGGGCGGCTCCACATCCTCCTCTCTAAGGCGGCGCCTCCTTCTCCCCAAGGTGGTCAGGACAAGCCCTTGCTTTCTACCTGGCCCAGCCTTGTGGTGCCTCCAGAACATGTGACTCTTCGGTGTCACTCTAATCTTGGGTTTAACAACTTCAGTCTGTACAAGGATGATGGGGTGCCTGTCCCTGAGCTCTACAACAGAATATTCTGGAAAAGCCTTTTCATGGGCCCTGTGACCCCGTCACACACAGGGACCTATAGATGCCGGGGTTCACACACACACTCCCCCAGTGGGGGGTCGGCACCCAGCAACCCCCTGGTGATCGTGGTCACAGGTCAGAGGGCTCCTGTCTGGGATTCTCCTTGTCCCACCTCCTGAATCCCAGAGCTGCTGGTAGGCATGTCCTTGAGGGTCCCTTCACGCAGGCCCTGACTGTATTTGGGGTAAAGGGGGATTGAATACAGGGAAATGGGTGCTGTGGTGGGAAGAATAATTGTCCCCAGTGATGACTACATTCTAATCCCTGGAGTCTGTGACTATTTATGTTATAGGGGAAGGGACTGAAGGGGAAGATGGAGCTCAGGTTGTTGATGAGTTGACCTTGAGATGGGGAGAAGGCCTGGACTGTCCCCCTGGGCTCAGTGTAATGACAAGTGTCCACAGGAAAGGAGGAGGAAGAGGGGAGTGGGGATTAGAGCAGCGTAATGGGAGTCTCCATCAGCTTTGAAGGTGGAGGAAGGCCAGGAGCCATGAATGCAGGTGGCCTATAGAGGCTGGAAAAGTCAAGGAACTGATTCTCCTGAGTCTCCAGAGGGAACGAAACCCTACAGGTGCCTTGATTTTAGCCCAGGAAAAACAGGGCCCAACTTCTGCCTCCAGAAATGGAAGGGGTCAGTGTGCTCTCTCCTGCTGCCATGCTGCTGATAATTTTCTACAGCAGCAACAGGAAACCAACACCGGAACCCAGCTCGAGGAAAAGTTAAGAAAGGACACAAGGATAGCCGGGCGTGGTGGCAGGTGCATGTAATCCTAGCGACTTGGGAGGCTGAGGGCAGGAGAATCACTTGAACCCAGGAGACAGAGGTTGCAGTGAGCCTAGACCACACCACTTCACTCCAGCCTGGGCAAAGGAGTGAGACTCTGTCTCCAAAATTAATTAATTAAAGAAACCAAACAAGGAGAAGGTTGGCTACACCAAGATCAGCAAGTGAGGGATGATGATGCCACCACCAGGCTCCATCCACATAGGGAGCGGTTGATACTCCTCCAACCAGCACCAGGAGCCAGGCTATGGAAGCTGGCACAGGCATGGCAAGAGTGGCTCCCAGTCCCCACCAGGAACAGGGTGTGTGGACACTGGTGCCTGCCTTACTGATCAGTTCATACCTCCTGCCAAGGATTCCAATTCGACCAAAAGAGATTGAACCAGGCTGCTAAGAGCCTGGATGTGCAGCCTATCCTGGTTCCTCTTCCACCCCCACATATACAGCAGGAAAGACATTAGTTCAAAATAGATACAACAGCCGAAGAGATGAGGCTGAGCCCAGCGGCAAGGGAATCAGAGGTTACTAGAGACAGAGGGACAGAGAAGAGGGAGGGAGACAGATGGAAGGACCTGCACCAGGAGTTATGGGCACAGAAAAGAACATGAAGACACAGAGAGGAAGGAGAGAGACAGACACCAGGGAGGGGAAGCCTCACTCAATCCAGGTGCCATGGATGGGATGATAAAGAGAGACACCTTCTAAATTCACAAACTCTCTTCCTAGGATTCCGCAGAAAACCTTCCCTCCTGGCCCACCCAGGTCCCCTGGTGAAATCAGAAGAGACAGTCATCCTGCAATGTTGGTCAGATGTCATGTTTGAGCACTTCCTTCTGCACAGAGAGGGGACGTTTAACCACACTTTGCGCCTCATTGGAGAGCACATTGATGGGGTCTCCAAGGGCAACTTCTCCATCGGTCGCATGACACAAGACCTGGCAGGGACCTACAGATGCTACGGTTCTGTTACTCACTCCCCCTATCAGTTGTCAGCGCCCAGTGACCCTCTGGACATCGTGATCACAGGTGAGAGTGTCCAGACATTCTTCTCATTGTCATTGGGATGCAGAGTGAATGATCCAGGACTTGGAGGCCCAGGTGGTTGTAAGGAAGATGAGCTTGGTATTCTTATGGAGAGAGACTGACTTGGTGAGGTCTGTACCAACAGAGACAGAGAAACAGGAGACACAAGTACAGACCAGGTGTCATAACAGAGGACACACACAGGGGCCTTTCCGAGAGTTAGAAAAGACAGAAGGAGTTAAAGGAGACAGACAGACAGACATGTCCCAGAGAGAGGTGTCCCTCCATGCTGACTTTGCTCAGAGACCTGGCACA
This sequence comes from Homo sapiens, assembly GCF_000001405.40. Taxonomy (NCBI): domain Eukaryota; kingdom Metazoa; phylum Chordata; class Mammalia; order Primates; family Hominidae; genus Homo; species Homo sapiens. The sequence continues at coordinate 256,159 of NW_016107303.1, forward strand.
TGTTAGAAGTTTCATTTCTGTTTTACCTCCACAAAGTGTTCTCTACCAGGAGAACCCAAGGACACCCATATTTCTGACCTGAGTTGGGCCCTATGGCCTCAGGCCTTCTGGCACCTACAGATGCCATGTTTATTCTGACACCTCTGCCTTCCAGGTAATGGAGAGTAATCGTCCCAGGATATCATGGCCCCAGAACACCAACCCCTGTATGCTGTGTGAACTTGTAGTCTCCAGACTGGATTCTGAGGCTCACATTCCAAATAACCCCACATATGAAAGGATCACTGAGAGGCACAGAGAAAAATCAGGAACACCAAAAAGCAAAGACATAAACACACAGAGAATGAGCCAGAGGAAGGAGATTGAGAGACTCACAGACACATAAAGAGAGAGAAAAGAGGGCAGAGGAGTGGTGAGAATGATGGAAGGGAGCAGAGAAAAGCACTAAAATTAGAGTCATGAGGGAGAGGCACAAGGACATAGAAAGATGGAGATGTGGGGATGAATTGCAGAGATTCCAAAGAGAACTAGAGAGACCGAGAGGCAGAGCAAGACAGATGATAGATGGATAGATATAGATAGATGATAAATAGGTAGATGATAGATAATAGGTTATAGATACATAGATGATGATTGATTGATTCATTAATAGATGAGACATAGAGATGATGATGATGAAGACAGATAGATAATACATAGAGATAGAGAGGCAGACATAGAGAAATCATAGAGAGAGAGAGATGATACACAGATATAGATAATAGATGATTGATGGATAGATAGAAAATTGATAGATAAATAGATGATATATAGATATAGATGACAGGTAGAGAATTTGTAGATAGGCACGGAATAGATAAATAGATAGATCGATAGATAATAGATAGAAATATGCAGAAAGTTATGAACAGGACACAAAGTGAGAAACTCAGAATTAAAAAAAGTAACATCAAGTGAACCAATCCAAGGAGAGTCAGAGAGAATAAAACAATCCAAAAAGAGAAAACATATCTAGAGGTGGGGAAGTGAGGTCAGAGACCTAGAGAGACAGAGAAGGTGGAAGGAGGAAATAGACGTGAAGAGAGATGGGGTGGAGGGTGAGAGAGAGAGAGAGAGAGCATTAGGTCACAGAGCAGGGGAGTGAGTTCTCAGCTCAGGTGAAGGGAGCTGTGACAAGGAAGATCCTCCCTGAGGAAAATGCCTCTTCTCCTTCCAGGTCTATATGAGAAACCTTCTCTCTCAGCCCAGCCGGGCCCCACGGTTCTGGCAGGAGAGAGCGTGACCTTGTCCTGCAGCTCCCGGAGCTCCTATGACATGTACCATCTATCCAGGGAAGGGGAGGCCCATGAACGTAGGCTCCCTGCAGGGCCCAAGGTCAACAGAACATTCCAGGCCGACTTTCCTCTGGACCCTGCCACCCACGGAGGGACCTACAGATGCTTCGGCTCTTTCCGTGACTCTCCATACGAGTGGTCAAAGTCAAGTGACCCACTGCTTGTTTCTGTCACAGGTGAGGAAAGCCCATGGCTGTCCCATGTCCTATGATCCTAGAGCCTTAGCTGAGGAGCTTCCTGCTGAGGATGGAGAGAAGCATGGACAGATGCAGAGAGAAGACGCAGCCTCGGTGTGAGGGAGGGATCAGGGCACAGGATGGCAGACAGGGCACCTCCAAACCCTCCTACATGGCCTGCATGGAGGCCCGCGGCCAGGGCTCCAGGCACCCAGGCAGATGGAGAAAGCGGTCAGGAGAGACCCAGAGGAGGGAGACTGGGCTCAGTTTGGGGAGATCAGAGGTTCCCTCAGCCCCTCAACATTACCCATTTCCCAGAAGCCCATCCTGGCCTCTCACCCACACAGAGATGTCATCACCAGCAATCCCTACACCCTTTACTTTTCTTTGAAGAAATATTTATTGAGGATAAATATACCTATATAGCTTACCACCTTTAACATTTTTTTTTGAGGTGGAGTCTAGCTCTGTCCCCTATGCTGGAGTGCAGTGGCACAATCTCAGCTCACTGCAACCTCCGCCTCCTGGGTTCAAGCGATTCTCCTGCCTCAGCCACCTGAGTAGCTGGTGCTACAGGCACGCACCACCATGCCAGGCTACTTTTTGTATTTTTAGTAGAGAGGTGGTTTCACCATGTTGGTCGAGCTGGTCTCGAACTCCTGACCACATGATCCACCCGCATCAGCCTCCCAAAGTGCTGGGATTACAGGCATGGGCCACCGCACCCAGCCACATTTACCATTTTTAAGTGTAAAGTCTAGTGGTCATAAATACATTTATATATATATATATATACATTTTTTTTACCCTCCACCCTTTTCTTCCTGTCCTCCAGTAGCCACCATTCTACTCTCTACCTTCATGAGATCCACCTTTTAGCTCCTGTATATGGGTGAGAAATGGGAATCTTTGTAATGACCTCCAGTTCCATCCATGTGGCTGCAAATGACAGGATGTTATTCTTTCTATGGATGAGTAGTCTCCACTGTGCGTATGTACTACATTCTCTCTATCCATTCACCCACTGATGGGCAGGTAGGTTGACTCCTCATCTTGGCTACTGTGAACAGTGCTGCACCAATCATACGAGTGCAGATATCACTTCGATATATTGATTTACTTTCCTTTGGATATAAACCCAGTAGTGAAATTGCTGGATACTATGAAAGTTCTCTTTTTTTTTTTTTTCTTTTTTGAGAAAGAGTTTCCCTCCTTAGCCCAAGCTGGAGTCAAAGTGGTGCGACCTTGGCTCATTGCAACCTCCGCCTCCTGGGTTCCAATGATTTTCCTGCCTCAGCCTCCCTAGTAGCTGGGATTACAGGTGCACGCCACCATGCCTGGCTACTTTTTGGTTTTTTTAGTATAGATGCGGTTTCCCCATGTTGGCTGGGCTGCTCTCAAACTCATGACCTCAACTGAGGTGCCCGCCTCAGTCTCCCAAAGTGCCGGGATTACAGGCCTGATCCACCACACCCAACCTCTTTTTAGTTCTTTAAAGGACTTCCATACTTTTCTCCGTAATCGCTGTACTAATTTACACTCCTCCCAACAGGGTACCAGGGTTCTCCTTTCTCTACCACCTTGCCAGCATTTCTTTTGCCTGTCTTGCAGCTAAAAGCCATTTTATTTTATTTCATTTTATTTTGAGGTGGAGTTTCGCTCTTGTCACCCAGGCTGAGTGCAGTGGTGCGATCTCGGCTCACCGCAACCTCCACCTCCCAGGTTCAAGCGATTCTCCTGCCTCAGCCTCCCGAGTAGCTGGAATTACAGGCACACGCCACCACGCCCTACTAATTTTTGTATTTTTAGTAGAGACAGCGTTTCTCTATGTGGGTCATACTGGTCTCAAACTCCCGACCTTATGAGATTCACCCACCTCAGGCTCTCAAAATTCTAGGATGACAGACGTGAGCCACCTCGCCCGGCCTAAAAGCCATTTTAATGGAGTGAGATGAAAACTCACTTTGATTTTAATTTGCGTTTCTCTGATGATGAGTGATACTGAGCAGTTTTTCGTATGTGGGGAAATTTCATGTCTTTTGCTCCTTTTTCAATTAAATCATTTGTTTTATTGAGTTGTTTGAGCTTCTTATATTTCTAGTTATTAATCCCATCTCAGATGCATAGTTTGCACATATTTGCTCCCAATCTGTGGGTTGTCTCTTCACTTTGTTGGTTTATTTTTAGCAGTGCAGAAGTTGCTTAGTTTGAGGTAATCCCAATGGTCTATTTTTGCTTCGATTACTTGTGTTTTCAAGGTTTAAAACAAAATGTCTTTCTTCAGACAAATGTCCTGGAGCATTTCCCCAATATTTTGTTCTACGTGTTTCATAGGTTCAGGCCTTAGACTCACATCTTTAATCCATTTTCATTTGATTTTTGTGTATGGTGACAGGTAGAGGTGCAGTTTCATTCCTCTGCATGTCGATGTCCAGGTTTCCCTGCACTGTTTATTGAAAAGACTGTCCTTTCCTGATTGTGAGTTCTTGGCACCTTTGTCAAAGTCCATTGGATGGGCTGGGCTTGGTAGCTAACACCTGCAATTTCAGCACTTTGGGAGGCCGAGGCGGGTGGATTACCTGAGGCCAGGAGTTCAAGATCAGTCTGGACGACGTGATGAAACATCGTCTCCACTAAAAATATAAAAATTAGCTGAGCATGGTGGTCAGCACCTGTAATACCACTACTCAGGAGTTTGAGGCAAGAGAATGATTGAACCCAGGAGGCTGAGGTTGCAGTGAACTGAGATTGCACCTCTGCACTCCAGCCTGAGTGACAGAGCAAGACTCCATCTCAAAAGAAAAAATAAAAACCATTGGATGTAAATGCATGGAATATATCTGTGTTATTCATTCTGCTCCATTGTTCTATGTGCCTTTCTTTATGCCAATGTCATGCTGTTTTGCTTACTACAGCTCTGTAACATATTTTGAGATCAGGTAGTGTGATGCTCCTGTTTTCTCTTTATACCTTGAAGTCTCAAGACAGTGGGTGTCACATAAAAAAATTATGGAAAAAAGGATCCCAGGACTCCCAGGGCCCAATATTAGATAACAGAGTGTTGGCCATGAACCATCCTCAAAGATTTCCACTGAGTAGAGGACAGACACCCTCATTTCCTCACCTCTCTCCTGTCTCGTGTTCTAGGAAACTCTTCAAATAGTTGGCCTTCACCCACTGAACCAAGCTCCGAAACCGGTGAGTACAGAACCCTCTTATATCCGCTTTTGGAAACCTGGGGAGGTGGAAACCTTGGATTCAGGCGTTGACTCAGCATCTCACAGCTCTGACATTGTACCCCTGTCTTCCACCATCTCCGAACTCCAGATACTCCAACAGCGAAAGGGATCTGGGCCCAACACAGGGCTCAGTGAAATCTCTTCATCCCTCATTTTATGGAGCTGAGACCTCCTACAAGCTAGAAGAATGATTGCCAATCTGACATCCTTCTCAGGAAAAATGCAATGTTTGTTCTGCCTGCATTCCTAACTGGAGGATAAATTCCTGGAGACTTGAGAGAGGGAAGGGAAGGGAACATCTGATGAGGGCGAGGTGTTTTAGAGAAGTTCCACTTGCCAAGGAATGAGCTCCTGTAGGTCATGAAGCAACCCTGGCTGACTCCGCAGAGAAAGCGCCTTGCCGTAACAGAGAACAGAGCTCATGCACGCACACTTCGACTCACTGACTCATTCAGCCACGGCCCCATGCTCAGGCTGTGCAGTGTGGAAGCTTTTCCTATTGTTGCCATAACAAATTTCCACAAGATTCGTGGGTGAAAACAAAACGGTTTTTTAATTATCTTACAGTGCTCTAGCTCAAAGTATGAAGTGCATCTCACTGGGCTAAAATCAAGGCGACAGCAAGGCTGCCTTCCCTCTGAGGGTTCCAGGCAAGAATCTGCTTCTCACTTGTCCCAGCTTCTAGAGGCTCCCACATTCCTTCGCTCCTGGTCCCCTTCCTCCTTCCTCAAAGCCCACAAAGGCTGGTCACATCTCACGTGGCATCACTCAGACCCTTCTTCCTTACCACACCTCTTTATCTGAATGCTGCTCTCCCTTCTTCCTCATCTTTTGAAAACTTGGGGATTCTATTGGGTTCACCAAGATGAAAATCCATCATAATCTCCAGGAAATCATTCAGGATACCCTTGTTTTAAGTTCAGCTGATTAGCAACCATAATTCCATCTGCAATCTTCATTCCTCCTTTCCATGTAAAATAAGATATTCACAAGCTATGGAGGCTAGGACAGGGACATTTTGGGGTGGGACAGCATTCTCCTACCTTCCACAAACAGTGAACAAGATGCATTTGGCCTCTGCCCTTGGGACACTGATATTGCAGATGGTTAAATGGGAGGGCAGAAAATGAATGCACAAGTGGACCAATAAATGAATGATCCATTGGGAAGCATCTGTGTATGAAATCTATTTGTTTGTTTCTTCGTTTGTTTATTGAGACAGAGTCTCCCTCCGTCTTCCAGGCTACAGTGCAGTGTCACCATCTTGGCTCACTGCAACCTGCACCTTCTGGATCCAAGTGATTCTCCTGCGTCAGCCTCTCGAGTAGCTGGGATTACAGGCAACTGCCACCATGCCCGGCTAATTCTTTTTGTATATTTTTTGTAGAGGATGTTTCACCATCTTCGCCAAGCTTCTCTGAAACTCCCAACCTCAAGTGATCCGACCGTCTCAGCATCCTAAAGTACTGGGATAACTGGCGTGAGCCACTGTGCCCAGCCAGAATTTAAAATAAATAATACATAATGCTGAGTGTATGATTTTGGGTGACAGAGAAGATCTCACTAATCAGATATTTGTGACATTAATGAAAAACACGGATTGAACCCCTGAAAGATTGGCGGAAGGATTTTCCACACACAGCTGTCAGCCGTGAAGGCAGAAAGCTGAAAACAATCTGATGTGGAAGGAAGAGGCTCTGCCTCAAATGCTGGGAATGAGATGGGGAGAATGACAAGACGACTGTGGAGAGACGGAGAGCACACTGGGTACACAGGAAACTAAGGAGCAACAAGGAGTGTGTGTTTGACACTCACAGCCATTGGATTCACCTCGGGGTAGCCAGGAATCCCTACATGATTAATAGTGACTGACATGAAAATAAGGGAGGCCCAGGTGCGTAACTGGAATCTAGGAGACCGTGGAAAAGGCAATTCCCGCCTCACTGGTGAAATGTGGTGCTGATTTAGACCCTAACTGGGTGAAGCAGATGGATATAAGATATGCTTGTGAGGTGGAATCATTGGCTGGAAAGGCTTGCTGGGTATGATTTTCCTAGTTGTCTAATCCTCGCTTAATTTCTTTCTGAGCTTTATTCCTACTACACATAAATCAATACCTGGCAAAGGAGTGACAGATATATGAGGGGTGGTGGAAATGAAGGGACCTATTACAGCATAATATACAAGTCTGTGAACGGTGGCTCACGCCTGTAACCCAGCACTGCAGGAGGCCAAGGCGGGTGGATCACACGAAGTCAGCAGTTCGAGACCAGCCTGGCCAACATGGTGAAACCCTGTCTCTAGGAAAAACACAAAAATTAGCCGAACATGGTGGTGCATCCCTGTAATGCCAGCTCCTACTCTGGAGGATGAAGCAGGAGAATGACTTCAACCCAGGAGGTGGAGTTTGCAGTGAGTGGAGATTGCATCACTGCACTCCAGCCTGGGTGACACAAGGAGACTCCGTCTCAAAAAATAAAAATAAGAAATGCATAAATATAAATATAATATAACACACGCAAATGACAAAGGGACCTGAATTCCAATCATGATTTTTCTATTTCTCTATAATTACTTCTTTGATCCTTTATCTTATCCATTAGGCAATGAGCCTAAAACCTCTTCCCTATTTGGCTTTCTGTGAGCATGAGATCATATAGAAAATGTGAAAGCCCGCTGAATCCTCCAGCACAGATCCTGGAATACACAAAGTGCTCTGTTCATCACAAAAAAAACATGCCCTCTCACCCAAATCCCCCACCTCACCCCTACTTCCAATCATCTGTGGAGATTCAGATAGGCCATGGGGAGGTAAATTCTAATACTCCTTGGAGTGAGTCCAGATCTTGGAATCAGAGATCAGCGTCAGCACTAGCTCCTGCTCCCCTTTCCTACTAATTCACAGGAGGACAGGTGGTATTGAAGCAATAGATGGCCGAGGGTGTGGTCCTTCCCCCAGCCTCTGGGGTAGAACAGCAGCCTAACATGTGTCTCCTGAGATCACAAAGAGTAGCACGTTTCACATGGGCTTCAACACTATTTCCTGGCCATTTGACATAAGAGAATTCTACTTCGCTTTTTTTATCTTGATTTCACTTTTGTTTCCTTTTCTTGGAGAATGCAAGTTGTTTGACTCAAGAATGCCGTGGATGTATAAATCCTAAAGCACATTCGCTGTGTATCAATCCCAGTGCAGTCTTCCCAGAGAAGACTCTAAACACCTCCTGGACTGCACCTGGGCCTATGCCAATTCCTATCACTCACCGTCACTCCAGGAAGACAGAACACACAGAGAATACATTACACAGGCAGGTTCATTACTAACAGATAAGCAGCGAGTGACAACAGAAGCCTACATTTCAATGTGAGCCAGTCCCTCAAGGCTCAGAAAAGCTGCTCGGGACATATGGAGTCACCCCATTTGCAGTGTAGCTGGGGGAAGCCAGAAAGCAGCCCAGCCTGGGTTTTGTACCCTGGAGCCACAGGAAGCACTCAGCTAAAGCACTGCATGACGCCTTCCTCCAGGAAGAACAGGAAGACAGCCCAGGCTGTTCTGAGACATTCCTCCTGATCTCAGGACGTTGCTGTCGTAGTTTTTTTTTGTTGCTCTAAAGGAAAACTTGAGCCTCGGTAACTTCTAAAGAAAAGAGATCGGTTTGCCTCACCGTTCTGCAGGCTGTACTGGAAGCATGGCACCAGAATCTATTTCTTGTGACGGCCTCAGGCTGCTCCCACTCTGGCAGAAGGGAAGGAGGGTCTGTCTGTGCAGAGACCGCAGAGATCACACGGCAAGAGAGAGAGTAAGGGGGAGGGGGAGCGATGGAGCTTCCAAGCTCTTTTGAACAACCAGCTCTCCGGGAACTAATAGAGGGGGAACTTGCTAACCCCGTCTCCTTGGGACAGCATTGTTCTGTTCATGATGGATCCACCTCCATGACCCAAACACCTCCCAAGAGGCCCAACCTCCCACAGTGGGGGTGAAATTTCCATGTGAGGTTTGAAGGGGTCAGACATCTCAACTAAAGTAGTTGTATCCTCAGCACGTTCTATGGTTACTATGAGAGCTATAATTGAGAAAGCAGGGGAAAGCTAGGTCTCCCACCATTTGGGTGCTTGTCCTAAAGAGACGTTGTATGTGGTTACCTGTCAATCAAGAAATGCGAGACAATTCATAAAGAGGAACTGCTATGATTAGCTTCTTATTGGTGTCTCCTCTTCTTCCAGGTAACCCCAGACACCTACACGTTCTGATTGGGACCTCAGTGGTCAAACTCCCTTTCACCATCCTCCTCTTCTTTCTCCTTCATCGCTGGTGCTCCAACAAAAAAAGTAAGTCTCACGAAGCAGAGGCCAGAGAGCTCAGGGCCATGTGGGGAAGCAGGATGGTAGCACGCGGGTGTGTGTTCCTCACAGGCAGGATGGTCCCTGGCCCAAGGCAGGAGCCACAGAGGCAGGACTTTCTAGAGAGAGCACCAGATTCCCTTCCCCTGCCTTCAGCTCACAGACCATTGCCTGATTCTGAACTGTACCCTCACGTCCCCTGCAGCCACTCACATCCAGGAGAAGGTTCCATGACAGGCAGAAAGTGGGAGATAGAATCAATGGGATGGGAACTCAGAGCTATTCATGGGATGGGTCCTTGAGCTCAGAGAGATAGAATGTCTGAGTCTGCTGTTGGCAACTGAGGGACCTCAGGCACCTATGGCCTCCCCCTGTTTGTTGGTATCTGCTTATGAAATGAGGACCCAGAAGTGCCCTCCGAGCTGTTTTGTTGACTTCCATCTTCTACAGATGCATCTGTAATGGACCAAGGGCCTGCGGGGAACAGAACAGTGAACAGGGAGGTAGGTGCTCCTCGGCCCAGCCTCGTGGCTAGTCTTATTCCCAAAGAGTCCTGAAAAATGTGAGCACCCTCCCTCACTCAGCATTTCCCTCTCTCCAGGATTCTGATGAACAGGACCATCAGGAGGTGTCATACGCATAATTGGATCACTGTGTTTTCACACAGAGAAAAATCACTCCCCCTTCTCAGAGGCCCAAGACACCCCCAACAGATACCAGCATGTACATAGAACTTCCAAATGCTGAGTCCAGATCCAAAGCTGTCTTCTGTCCACGAGCACCACAGTCAGGCCTTGAGGGGATCTTCTAGGGAGACAACAGCCCTGTCTCAAAACCGGGTTGCCAGCTCCCATGTACCAGCAGCTGGAATCTGAAGGCATCAGTCTTCATCTTAGGGGATCGCTCTTCCTCAAACCACGAATCTGAACATGCCTCTCTCTTGCTTACAAATGTCTAAGGTCCCCACTGCCTGCTGGAGAGAAAACACACTCCTTTGCTTAGCCCACAATTCTCCATTTCACTTGACCCCTGCCCACCTCTCCAACCTAACTGGCTTACTTCCTAGTCTACTTGAGGCTGCAATCACACTGAGGAACTCACAATTCCAAACATACAAGAGGCTCCCTCTTAACACAGCACTTAGACACGTGCTGTTCCACCTTCTCTCATGCAGTTCCACCTCCCCTCAGACTATCTTTCAGCCTTCTGTCAGCAGTAAAACTTATAAATTGTTTTTAGTAATTTCAATGTAGTTTTCCCTCCTTCAAATAAACATGTCTGCCCTCATGGTTTCGGTAATGGGACTCTTTTCTTGCCTAAGGCTTCTGGTGTTATCATTACCATGTCCACATAACCCCATCTGTTCTCCACTGGGTTCTCACCCCTGGACTCTGAGCTTCTGGAACAGGGTGGACCCTGACTTGTCTCTGAGACTCCAATTTCCATCCAAAGATGCAGCACATAGGAAGTTCCAAGGATCGTGAATCACATGAACAAGTGATATTCTTACTCTCTGCAGACCTGGAAAGCTGGCAGAGTCATTCCATGATGAAACATTTGTAGAGTCATAGGCCTTGTTAGTCTCATCTCCACGGGGACACATGTCAACGCATCATCTTTCATACTATAAATATACAGTCGCTCCTCCGTATCTGTGGGGTTTACAGGTGTTTATTGAACCAAGTATAAATCAAAAATATTCAGAGAAAAAGCCCACAAAGTTCCAAAAAGCAAAACTGTGTTGAATGCACACAAATGAGGTGGTGTATAGGCTGTATCAGGAATTATAAGTAATCAAGAGATGATTTCATGTATACAGGAGGATGTGCATGGGTTATATCCAAATGCTGTGTCATTTTATGTAAGAGGCTTGAGCATCTGCAGATTTTAGTATCTGAGTGGAGATCCTGAAACCAATCACCCATGAATAGTGAAGGATGACGGTATAGGACTTTTATTTCTCAAATTTAAATATAAATCATAAAAAATGTACAATAACTAGATAAAAACTAAGAAGTGTTTTTATAGTGTGAGAATAAGTTTAGATTTATTATTTCCTATGTGTAACCCTTTGGTTTAATATTATTTATTGAGAAGACATTCTATGCCACCTTAAACCACACGGCAGCCTTTGTCAACTAAAAAGGGACTGTGTGTACACGGATGTGTATTTTAGACACTGTCTCTGCTAAACGGCTCTCTGTGTCCACATTCTTGAGGATGCTCCACTTTATGTAGCCCCATAGAACCCTTTAAATTTAGTAGCCAGAGGCCTCTAATTTGTTATTATAGGCTATTTGCTATTTTTATTTTCTTGAGGCGGAGTCTTGCTCTGTCGCCCAGGCTGGACTGCAGTGGTGCAATCTCAGCTCACTGCAACCTCCGCCTCCCAGGTTCAAGCGATTCTCGTGCCTCAGCCTCTTGGGTAGCTGGTGTTACAAGTTCCTGCCACTGGGCACGGCTAATTTTTGGATTTTTAGCAGAGACACGGTTTCACTGTGTTGCCAGGCTGCTCTCAAACTCCTTATATCAGTTGATCCGCCCACCTCGGCTTCCCGACGTGCTGGGGGAAACTTGATTTTCTATAGCATTATGTTACTGGATATTTCTGTAAAATTTAAAATGAGGGAGGGAGAGAGACAGAGAGAGAGCAAACTCCAGAGTTGGGACTCTGGAAACTTGGGTCATGAGACAAATTTTAGATAAATCTACAAAAATCCAGAGTTTAAATGTGTGGTTTTTGCTGATAACGTACAATTCAAAGATTGTAAATAATTGCATAATCCTTCCCTGGGAATTTAAATCATTTTAACTGGTTCTGCTGTAATACTAGAAATACAAGCATGAAAAATTCTAATGGTTTATTAGTCACAATGACTCTGAAAACCTTAATAATACCTATTAGATATTTTGCATATTACACAGGAAGAAGAGTTTGAATCTCAGATAAAAACAATAAAAATACATGAAAAGTCTTTCACGTTAGCACAGATTTTAGGCATCTCGTGTTCAGGAGGTTGGATCTGAGACGTGTTTTGAGTTGGTCATAGTGAAGGACGCTAGGTGTAAATTCTAGTGAGAACAATTTCCAGGAAGCCGTGTTCCGCTCTTGAGCGAGCAACCACTGGGCCTCATGCAAGGTAGAAAGAGCCTGCGTACGTCACCCTCCCATGATGTGGTCAACATGTAAACTGCATGGGCAGGGCGCCAAATAACATCCTGTGCGCTGCTGAGCTGAGCTGGGGCGCGGCCGCCTGTCTGCACCGGCAGCACCATGTCGCTCACGGTCGTCAGCATGGCGTGTGTTGGTGAGTCCTGGAAGGGAATAGAGGAAGGGAGTGTGGGGTTGGAGATCTGGGCCCAGAGGTGGATATATAGGCCTGGAGGTGGAGTTGTGGGCCTGGAGTGGAGATCTGGGCCTGGAGTGGATATATGGGCCTAGAGATGGAGTGATGGGCCTAGAAGTGGAGATCTGGGCCCAGAGGTCGAGATATAGGCCTGGAGGTGGAGTGATGGGACTGTAGTGGAGATCTGGGCCTGGAGTGGAGATAGGAACCTGGAGGGGAGATAGGAACCTGGAGGGGAGATATGGGCCTGGAGGTGGAGATATGGGCCTGGAGTGGAGTCATGGGCCTGGAGGTGGAGTTACGGGCCTGCAGTAGAGATATGGGCCTGAAGTGGAGACATGGGCCTGGAGTGGAGATATGGGCCAGGAGTGGAGATATGGGCCTAGAGGTCGATATCTGGGCCTGGAGTGGAGATATGGGCCAGGAGTGGAGATATGGGCCTAGAGGTCGATATCTGGGCCTGGAGAGGAGATATGTGCCTAGGATGGAGATACGGGCCTGGGTGTGGAGATATGGGACTGGAGAGGATATATGGGCCTGGAGTGGAGATATGGGACTGGAGAGGAGATATGGACCTGGAGTGGAGATAAGGGCCTGGATTGGAGATATGGGCCCAGGGTGGAGATCTGAGCCTGGATTGGAGATATGGGCCTGGATTGGCGATATGGGCTTAGGGTGGAAATATCGGCCTGGAGTGGAGATATGGGCCTGGAGTGGAGATATGGGCTTGAGGTGGGGATATGGACCTGGAGGCTGGGTCTCTGCACAGCCGACAGCCCTGTTCTTGGGTGCAGGTAGGCACTGAGGGTGAGTTTACCTTCAGCCCAGGAAGGGCCTGGCTACCAAGACTCACAGCCCAGTGGGGGCAGCAAGGGTGCCCTGGTTTGCCTGCAGATGGGTCATCCATCATGATCTTTCTTTCCAGGGTTCTTCTTGCTGCAGGGGGCCTGGCCACATGAGGGTGAGTCCTTCTCCAAACCTTCGGGTGTCATCTCCCCACATAAGAGGATTTTCCTGAAATGGGAGGGAAGTCCTGTCAGGGAGTCTCTCATAAACTAGGAAGAAGGGACCCTGGGGTGCTGGGCCCACATTTCTGACCTTGCCTCCCTGGCCTTTCATTCCCTTGGCAGAGTCAAGTTCTGTGGGGACCAGGGTTAGACTACGGTGCTCAAAGCTGGGGTGTGTGGTGGGGAAGTGGTAGGAACAGCAGATCCTCTGAGGACAAAGGTGTTACTCACACACTTCAGCGTTTCCATGACGGTAGGGGCTGCAGTGTGGCTGCTGTCATTCTACCAGAAGAGGTGGGAAAACCACAGCCATGGCCCTGACATTCCAATCCTCTGATGGGGACTCAGTTGTTTATTTTCGTTCAGGCATCGGCTGATATTCCATTCTCAAAGGACATGCCCTCCACCCCATGTCTACCCTGTGTTGTTTTATGTGAGTAATCTTACAGTATTAAAATCTAGTAGGAGTCTCTTACTCAGCACTTGCTCAAAGTTCTCAGCTGACACTTTTGTTGTAGGGAGACACCTTGTGTTTGCGGGATGGGTTCTTCCTTTAGCCCTGGGCACCAAGGTGTGATAGCAGCCATAGAAACTTGGAAAGCGAGGAGAATCTTCAGAGCACAGGGAGGGAGGGGCGGCTCCACATCCTCCTCTCTAAGGCGGTGCCTCCTTCTCCCCACGGTGGTCAGGACAAGCCCTTGCTGTCTGCCTGGCCAAGCCCTGTGGTGCCTCCAGGATATGTGATTCTTCAGTGTCATTCTTATCTTGGGTTTAACAACTTCAGTCTGTAAAAGGAAGATGGGGTGCCTGTCCCTGAGCTCTACAACATAATATTCTGGAACAGCCTTTTCATGGGCCCTGTGACCCCAGCACACGCAGGGACCTATACATGTCGGGGTTCACAACCACACTACCCCAGTGGGTGGTCGGCACCCAGCAACCCCCTGGAGATCACGGTCACAGGTCAGAGGGCTCCTGTCTGGGATTCTCCTTGTCCCACCTCCTGAATCCCAGAGCTCCTGGTGGGCGTGTCCTTGCGGGTCCCATCATGCAAGTCCTGACTGTATTTGGGGTAAAGGGGGATTGAATACAGGGAAATGGGTGCTGTGGTGGGAAGAATAATTGTCCCCAGTGATGACTACATTCTAATCCCTGGAGTCTGTGACTATTTATGATATAGGGGAAGGGACTGAAGGAGAAGATGGAGCTCAGGTTGTTGATGAGTTGACCTTGAGATGGGGAGACAACCTGGACTGTCCTGATGGGCTCAGTGTAGTCACAGGGGTCCACAGGAAAGGAGGAGGAAGAGGGGAGTGGGGATTACAGCAGCATAATGGGAGTCTCCATCAGCTTTGAAGGTGGAGGAAGTCCAGGAGCCATGAATGCAGGTGGCCTATAGAGGCTGGAAAAGTCAAGGAACTGATTCTCCTGAGTCTCCAGAGGGAACGAAGCCCTGCAGGTACCTTGATTTTACCCACGACAAACAGGGTCCGATTTCTGTCTCCAGAATTGGAAGGGGTTAGTGTGCTCTCTCCTGCTGCCATGCTTCTGATAATTTTCTACAGCAGCAACAGGAAACCAACACTGGAACCCAGGTCAAGGACAAGTTAAGAAACAACACAAGGATAGCCAGGCATGGTGGCAGGTGCATGTAATCCTAGCGACTTGGGAGGCTGAGGGCAGGAGAATCACTTGAACCCAGGAGACAGAGGTTGCAGTAAGCCTAGACCACACCACTTCACTCCAGCCTGGGCAAAGGAGTGAGACTCTGTCGCCAAAATTAATTAATTAATTAAAGAAACCAAACAAGGAGAAGGTTGGCTACACTGAGATCAGCAAGGCTCGGATGATGATGCCACCACCAGGCTCCATCCACATAGGGAGCGGTTGATACTCCTCCAACCAGCACCAGGAGCCAGGCTATGGAAGCTGGCACTGGCATGGCAAGAGTGTCTCCCAGTCCCTACCAGGAACAGGGTGTGTGGCCACTGGTGCCTGCCTTACTGATCAGTTCATACCTCCTGCCAAGGATTCCAATTCGTCCAAAAGAGATTGAACCAGGCTGCTAAGAGCCTGGATGTGCAGCCTATCCTGGTTCCTCTTCCACCCCCACACAGACAGCAGGAAAGACATTAGTTCGAAATAGATACAACAGCCCAAGAGATGAGGCTGAGCCCAGCGGCAAGGGAATCAGAGGCTACTAGAGACAGAGGGACAGAGAAGAGTGAGGGAGACAGATGGAAGGACCTGCACCAGGAGTTATGGGCACAGAAAAGAACATGAAGACACAGAGAGGAAGGAGAGAGATAAGACACCAGGAAGGGGAAGCCTGACTCAATCCAGGTGCCATGGATGGGATGATAAAGAGAGACACCTTCTAAACTCACAACCTCTCTTCCTAGGAGTCCACAGAAAACCTTCCCTCCTGGCCCACCCAGGTCGCCTGGTGAAATCAGAAGAGACAGTCATCCTGCAATGTTGGTCAGATGTCATGTTTGAACACTTCCTTCTGCACAGAGAGGGGATGTTTAACGACACTTTGCGCCTCATTGGAGAACACCATGATGGGGTCTCCAAGGCCAACTTCTCCATCAGTCGCATGAAGCAAGACCTGGCAGGGACCTACAGATGCTACGGTTCTGTTACTCACTCCCCCTATCAGTTGTCAGCTCCCAGTGACCCTCTGGACATCGTGATCATAGGTGAGAGTGTCCAGACTTTCTTCTCATTGTCATTGGGATGCAGAGTGAATGATCCAGGACTTGGAGGCCCAGGTGGCTGTAAGGAAGATGAGCTTGGTATTCTTATGGAGAGAGACTGACTTGGTGAGGTCTGTGCCAACAGAGACAGAGAAACAGGAGACACAAGTAGAGACCAGGTGTCATAACAGAGAACAGACACAGGGGCCATACCGGGAGTTTGAAAAGACAGAAAGAGTTAAAGGAAACACACAGACAGACATGTCCCAGAGAGAGGTGTCCCTCCATGCTGACTTTGCTCAGAGACCTGGCACAGGTTAGAAGTTTCATTTCTGTTTTACCTCCACAAAGTGTTCTCTACCAGGAGAACCCAAGGACACCCATATTTCTGACCTGAGTTGGGCCCTGTGGCCTCAGGCCTTGTGGCACCTACAGATGCCATGTTTATTCTGACACCTCTGCCTTCCATGTAATGGAGAGTAATCGTCCCAGGATATCATGGCCCCACAACACCAACCCCTGTATGCTGTGTGAACTTGTAGTCTCCAGACTGGATTCTGAGGCTCATATTCCAAATAAGCCCACTTATGAGAGGATCAGTGAGAGGCACAGAGAGAAATCAGGGACACCAAAAAGCAAAGACATAAACACACAGAGAATGAGCCAGAGGAAGGAGATTGAGAGACTCACAGACACATAAAGAGAAAAGAGGGCAGAGAAGTGAGAATGATGGAAGGGAGCAGAGAAAAGCACTAAAATTAGACTCCTGAGGGAGAGGCACAAGGACATTGAAAGATGGAGATGTGGGGATGAATTGCAGAGATTCCAAAGAGAACTAGAGAGACCGAGAGGCAGAGCAAGACAGATGATAGATGGATAGATATAGATAGATGATAAATAGGTAGATGATAGATAATAGGTTATAGATACATAGATGATGATTGATTGATTCATTAATAGATGAGACATAGAGATGATGATGATGAAGACAGATAGATAGATAATACATAGAGATACAGAGGCAGACATAGAGAAATCATAGAGAGAGAGAGATGATACATAGATATAGATAATAGATGATTGATGGATAGATAGACAATTGATGGATAAATAGATGATATATAGATATAGATGACAGGTAGAGAATTTGTAGATAGGCACCGAATAGATAAATAGATAGATCGATAGATAATAGATAGAAATATGCAGAAAGTTATGAACAGGACACAAAGTGAGAAACTCAGAATTAAAAAAAGTAACATCAAGTCAACCAATCCAAGGAGAGTCAGAGAGAATAAAACAATCCAAAAAGAGAAAACATATCTAGAGGTGGGGAAGTGAGGTCAGAGACCTAAAGAGACAGAGAAGGTGGAAGGAGGAAATAGACATGAAGAGCGATGGGGTAGAGGGTGAGAGAGAGAGAGAGAGAGCATTAGGTCATAGAGCAGGGGAGTGAGTTCTCAGCTCAGGTGAAGGGAGCTGTGACAAGGAAGATCCTCCCTGAGGAAACTGCCTCTTCTCCTTCCAGGTCTATATGAGA
Source organism: Homo sapiens (assembly GCF_000001405.40). Classification (NCBI taxonomy): domain Eukaryota; kingdom Metazoa; phylum Chordata; class Mammalia; order Primates; family Hominidae; genus Homo; species Homo sapiens. Next base: position 273,842 of record NW_016107303.1, read on the forward strand.
AACCTTCTCTCTCAGCCCAGCCGGGCCCCACGGTTCTGGCAGGAGAGAATGTGACCTTGTCCTGCAGCTCCCGGAGCTCCTATGACATGTACCATCTATCCAGGGAAGGGGAGGCCCATGAACGTAGGCTCCCTGCAGGGACCAAGGTCAACGGAACATTCCAGGCCAACTTTCCTCTGGGCCCTGCCACCCATGGAGGGACCTACAGATGCTTCGGCTCTTTCCGTGACTCTCCATACGAGTGGTCAAAGTCAAGTGACCCACTGCTTGTTTCTGTCACAGGTGAGGAAAGCCCATGGCTGTCCCATGTCCTATGATCCTAGAGCCTTAGCTGAGGAGCTTCCTGCTGATGATGGAGAGAAGCATGGACAGATGCAGAGAGAAGACGCAGCCTCGGTGTGAGGGAGGGATCAGGGCACAGGATGGCCGACAGGGCACCTCCAAACCCTCCTACATGGCCTGCATGGAGGCCCACGGCCAGGGCTCCAGGCACCCAGGCAGATGGAGAAAGCGGTCAGGAGAGACCCAGAGGAGGGAGACTGGGCTCAGTTTGGGGAGATCAGAGGTTCCCTCAGCCCCTCAACCTTACCCATTTCCCAGAAGCCCATCCTGGCCTCTCACCCACACAGAGATGTCATCACCAGCAACCCCTACACCCTTTACTTTTCTTTGAAGAAATATTTATTGAGGATAAATATACCTATATAGCTTACCACTTTTAACATTTTTTTTTGAGGTGGAGTCTAGCTGTGTCCCCTATGCTGGAGTGCAGTGGCACAATCTCAGCTCACTGCAACCTCCACCTCCTGGGTTCAAGCGATTCTCCTGCCTCAGCCACCTGAGTAGCTGGTGCTACAGGCACGCACCACCACGCCAGGCTACTTTTTGTATTTTTAGTAGGGAGGTGGTTTCACCATGTTGGTCGAGCTGGTCTCGAACTCCTGACCAAGTGATCCACCCGCATCTGCCTCCCAAAGTGCTGGGATTACAGGCATGGGCCACCGCGCCCAGCCACATTTACCATTTTTAAGTGTAAAGTCTAGTGGTCATAAATACATTTATATACATATATATATATATACATTTTTTTTACCCTCCACCCTTTTCTTCCTGTCCTCCAGTAGCCACCATTCTACTCTCTACCTTCATGAGATCCACCTTTTAGCTCCTGTATATGGGTGAGAAATGGGAATCTTTGTAATGACCTCCAGTTCCATCCATGTGGCTGCAAATGACAGGATGTTATTCTTTCTATGGATGAGTAGTCTCCACTATGCGTATGTACTACATTCTCTCTATCCATTTACCCACTGATGGGCAGGTAGGTTGACTCCTCATCTTGGCTACTGTGAACAGTGCTGCACCAATCATACGAGTGCAGATATCACTTCGATATATTGATTTACTTTCCTTTGGATATAAACCCAGTAGTGAAATTGCTGGATACTATGAAAGTTCTCTTTTTTTCTTTTTTTCTTTTTTGAGAAAGAGTTTCCCTCCTTAGCCCAAGCTGGAGTCAAAGTGGTGCGACCTTGGCTCATTGCAACCTACGCCTCCTGGGTTCAAATGATTTTCCTGCCTCAGCCTCCCTAGTAGCTGGGATTACAGGTGCACACCACCATGCCTGGCTACTTTTTGGTTTTTTTAGTATAGATGGGGTTTCCCCATGTTGGCTGGGCTGCTCTCAAACTCATGACCTCAACTGAGGTGCCCGCCTCAGTCTCCCAAAGTGCCGGGATTACAGGCATGATCCACCGCACCCAACCTCTTTTTAGTTCTTTAAAGGACTTCCATACTTTTCTCCGTAATGGCTGTACTAATTTACACTCCTCCCAACAGGGTACCAGGGTTCTCCTTTCTCTACCACCTTGCCAGCATTTCTTTTGCCTGTCTTGCAGCTAAAAGCCATTTTATTTTATTTCATTTTATTTTGAGATGGAGTTTTGCTCTTCTCACCCAGGCTGGAGTGCAGTGGCGCGATCTCGGCTCACCACAACCTCCACCTCCCAGGTTCAAGCGATTCTCCTGCCTCAGCCTCCCGAGTAGCTGGAATTACAGGCACACGCCACCACGCCCGACTAATTTTTGTATTTTTAGTAGAGACAGTGTTTCTCTATGTGGGTCATACTGGTCTCAAACTCCCGACCTTATGAGATTCACCCACCTCAGGCTCTCAAAGTTCTAGGATGACAAACGTGAGCCACCTCACCCGGCCTAAAAGCCATTTTAATGGGGTGAGATGAAAACTCACTTTGAATTTAATTTGCGTTTCTCTGATGATGAGTGATACTGAGCAGTTTTTCGTATGTGGGGAAATTTCATGTCTTTTGCTCCTTTTTCAATTAAATCATTTGTTTTATTGAGTTGTTTGAGCTTCTTATATTTCTAGTTATTAATCCCATCTCAGATGCATAGTTTGCACATATTTGCTCCCAATCTGTGGGTTGTCTCTTCACTTTGTTGGTTTATTTTTAGCGGTGCAGAAGTTGCTTAGTATGAGGTAATCCCAATGGTCTATTTTTGCTTCGATTACTTGTGTTTTCAAGGTTTAAAACAAAATGTCTTTCTTCAGACAAATGTCCTGGAGCATTTCCCCAATATTTTGTTCTACGTGTTTCATAGGTTCAGGCCTTAGACTCACATCTTTAATCCATTTTCATTTGATTTTTGTGTATGGTGACAGGTAGAGGTGCAGTTTCATTCCTCTGCATGTAGATGTCCAGGTTTCCCTGCACTGTTTATTGAAAAGACTGTCCTTTCCTGATTGTGAGTTCTTGGCATCTTTGTCAAAGTCCATTGGATGGGCTGGGCTTGGTGGCTAACACCTGCAATTTCAGCACTTTGGGAGCCCGAGGTGGGTGGATCACCTGAGGCCAGGAGTTCAAGATTAGTCTGGCCGACGTGATGAAACATCATCTCCACTAAAAATATAAAAATTAGCTGAGCATGGTGGTCAGCACCTGTAATACCACTACTCAGGAGTTTGAGGCAAGAGAATGATTGAACCCAGGAGGCTGAGGTTGCAGTGAACCGAGATTGCACCTTTGCACTCCAGCCTGAGTGACAGAGCAAGACTCCATCTCAAAAGAAAAAATAAAAAACCATTGGATGTAAATGCATGGAATATATCTGTGTTATTCATTCTGCTCCGTTGTTCTATGTGCCTTTCTTTATGCCAGTGTCATGCTATTTTGCTTACTACAGCTCTGTAACATATTTTGAGATCAGGTAGTGTGATGCTCCTGTTTTCTCTTTATACCTTGAAGTCTCAAGACAGTGGGTGTCACATAAAAAAATTATGGAAAAAAGGATCCCAGGACTCCCAGGGCCCAATATTAGATAACAGAGTGTTGGCCATGAACCATCCTCAAAGATTTCCACTGAGTGGAGGACAGAAACCCTCATTTCCTCACCTCTCTCCTGTCTCATGTTCTAGGAAACCCTTCAAATAGTTGGCCTTCACCCACTGAACCAAGCTCCGAAACCGGTGAGTACAGAACCCTCTTATATCCGCTTTTGGAAACCTGGGGAGGTGGAAACCTTGGATTCAGGCGTTGACTCAGCATCTCACAGCTCTGACATTGTACACCTGTCTTCCACCATCTCCGAACTCCAGATACTCCTACAGCGAAAGGGATCTGGGCCCAACACAGGGCTCAGTGAAATCTCTTCATCTCTCATTTTATGGAGCTGAGACCTCCTACAAGCTAGAAGAATGATTGCCAATCTGACATCCTTCTCAGGAAAAATGCAATGTTTGTTCTGCCTGCATTCCTAACTGGAGGATAAATTCCTGGAGACTTGAGAGAGGGAAGGGAAGGGAACATCTGATGAGGGCGAGGTGTTTTAGAGAAGTTCCACTTGCCAAGGAATGAGCTCCTGTAGGTCATGAAGCAACCCTGGCTGACTCAGCAGAGCAAGAGCCTTGCCGTAACAGAGAACAGAGCTCATGCACACACACTTCGACTCACTGACTCATTCAGCCACGGCCCCATGCTCAGGCTGTGCAGTGCGGAACCTTTTCCTATTGTTGCCATAACAAATTTCCACAAGATTCGTGGGTGAAAACAAAACGGTTTTTTAATTATCTTACAGTGCTGTAGCTCAAAGTAGGAAGTGCATCTTACTGGGCTAAAATCAAGGTGACAGCAAGGCTGCCTTCCCTCTGAGGATTCCAGGCACGAATCTGCTTCTCACTTGTCCCAGCTTCTAAAGGCTCCCAGTTCCTTGGCTCCTGGTCCCCTTCCTCCTTCCTCAAAGCCCACAAAGACTGGTCACATCTCACATGGCATCACTCAGTGCCTTCTTCCTTACCACACTTCTTTCTCTGAATGCTGCTCTCCCTTCTTCCTCATCTTTTGAAAACTTGGGGATTCTATTGGGTTCACCAAGATGAAAATCCCTCATAATCTCCTGGAAATCATCCAGGATACCCTTGTTTTAAGTTCAGCTGATTAGTAACCATAATTCCATCTGCAATCTTCATTCCTCCTTTCCATGTAAAATAACATATTCACAAGCTATGGAGGCTAGGACAGGGACATTTTGGGGTGGGACAGCATTCTCCTGCCTTCCACAAACAGTGAACAAGATGCATTTGGCCTCTGCCCTTGGGACACTGATATTGCAGATGGTTAAATGGGAGGGCAGAAAATGAATGCACAAGTGGATCTATAAATGAATGATCCATTGGGAAGCATCTGTGCATGAAATCTATTTTTTGTTTGTTCTTTTGTTTATTGAGACAGAGTTGCCCTCTGTCTTCCAGGCTACAGTGCAGTGTCACGATCTTGGCTCACTGCAACCTGCTTCTCCTGGATTCAAGTGATTCTCCTGCCTCCGCCTCTCGAGTAGCTGGGATTACAGGCAACTGCCACCGTGCCCGGCTAATTCTTTTTGTATATTTTTTGTAGAGAGGATGTTTCACCACGTTGGCCAAGCTTGTCTGAAACTCCCAACCTCAAGTGATCCGACCGTCTCAGCATGCCAAAGTAATGGGACTACAGGCGTGAGCCACTGTGCCCAGCCAGAATTCAAAATCAATAATAGATAATGCTGAGTGTATGATTTCAGGTGACAAAGAAGGTCTCACTATTCAGATATTTGTGACATTAATGAAAAACACGGATTGAACCCCTGAAAGATTGGCGGAAGGATTTTGCACACACAGCTGTCAGCCGTGAAGGCACAAAGGTGAAAACAATCTGATGTGGAAGGAAGAGGCTCTTCCTCAAATGCTGGGAATGAGGTGGGGAGAATGACAAGACGACTGTGGAGAGACGGAGAGCACACTGGGTACACAGGAAACTAAGGAGCAACAAGGAGTGTGTGTTTGACACTCACAGCCATTGGATTCACCTCGGGGTAACCAGGAATCCCTACATGATTAATATGACTGACATGAAAATAAAGGAGGCCCAGGGGCGTAACTGGAATCTAGGAGACCGTGGAAAAGGCAATTCCCGACCCACTGGTGAAATGTGGTGCTGATTTTGACACTAAGTGGATGAAGCAGATGGATATAAGCTATGCTTGTGAGGTAGAATCATTGGCTGGAAAGGCTTGCTGGGTTTGATTTTCCTACTTGTTTAATCCTCGCTTAATTAATTTCTTTCTGAGATTTATTCATCCTACACATAAATCAATACCTGGCAAAGGAGTGACAGATATATGAGGGGTGGTGGAAATGAAGAGACCTATTATAGCGTAATATACAAGTCTGTGAACGGTGGCTCACGCTTGTAACCCAGCACTGCAGGAGGCCAAGGCGGGTGGATTCCATGAAGTCAGGAGTTCCAGACCAGCCTGGCCAACATGGTGAAACCCTATCTGTACTAAAAATACAAAAATTAGCCGAGCATGGTGGTGCATCCCTGTAATCCCAGCTCCTACTCTGGAGGATGAAGCAGGAGAATGACTTCAACCCAGGAGGTGGAGGTTGCAGTGAGTGGAGATTGCATCACTGCACTCCAGCCTGGGTGACACAAGGAGACTCCGTCTCAAAAAATAAAAATAAGAAATGCATAAATATAATAAAACACACACGAATGACAAAGGCACCTGAATTCCAATCATCATTTTTCTATTTCTCTATAATTACTTCTTTGATCCTTTATCTTATCCATTAGGCAATGAGCCTAAAACCTCTTCCCTATTTGGCTTTCTGTGAGCATGAGATCACATAGAAAATGTGAAAGCCCGCTGAATCCTCCAGCACGGATCCTGGAATAGAGAAAGTGCTCTGTTCATCGCAAAAAAAAACTTGCCCACTCACCCAAATCCCCCACCTCACCCCTACTTCCAATCACCTGTGGAGATTCAGATAGACCATGGGGAGGAAACATTAATACTCCTTGGAGTGAGTCCAGATCTTGGAATCAGAGATCAGCGACAGCACTAGCTCCTGTTCCCCTTTCCTACTAATTCACAGGAGGACAGGTGGTATTGAAGCAATAGATGGTGGAGGGGGTGGTCCTTCCCCCAGCCTCTCGGGTAGAACAGCAGCCTAACATGTGTCTCCCGAGATCACAAAGAGCAGCACATTTCACACGGGCTTCAACACTATTTTCTGGCTGTTTGACATAAGAGAATCTTGCTTCGCTATTTTTAATCGTGATTTCACCTTTGTTTCCTTTCCTTGGTGAATGCAATTTGTTTGACTCAAGAATGCTGTGGATGTAGAAATCCTAAAGCACATTCGCTGTGTATCAATCCCAGTGCAGTCTTCCCAGAGAAGACTCTAAACAAATCCTGGACTGCACCTGGGCCTATGCCAATTCCTATCACTCACCGTCACTCCAGGGAGACAGAACACACAGAGAATACGTTACATAGGCAGGTTCATTACTAACAGATAAGCAGTGAGTGACAACAGAAGCCTGCATTTCAATGTGAGCCAGTCCCTCAAGGCTCAGAAAAGCTGCTCGGGACATATGGAGTCACCCCATTTGCAGTGTAACTGGGGGAAGCCAGAAAGCAGCCCAGCCTGGGTTTTGTACCCTGGAGCCACAGGAAGCACTCAGCTAAAGCACTGCATGACGTCCTCCTCCAGGAAGAACAGGAAGACAGCCCAGGCTGTTCTGAGACATTCCTCCTGATCTCAGGATGTTGCTATCTTAGTCCATTTTTGTTGCTCTAAAGGAACACTTGAGCCTGGGTAACTTCTAAAGAAAAGAGATTGGTTTGCCTCACAGTTCTGCAGGCTGTACTGGAAGCATGGCACCAGAATCTATTTCTCGTGATGGCCTCAGGCTGCTCCCACTCTGGCAGAAGGGAAGGAGGGTCTGTCTGTGCAGAGACCGCAGAGATCACACGGCAAGAGAGAGAGTAAGGGGGAGAGGGAGCGATGGAGCTTCCAAGCTCTTTTTAACAACCAGCTCTCCAGGAACTAACAGAGGGGGAACTTGCTAACCCCGTCTCCTTGGGACAGCATTGGTCTGTTCATGATGGATCCACCTCCATGACCCAAACACCTCTGAAGAGGCCCAACCTCCCACAATGGGGGTGAAATTTCAATGTGAGGTTTGAAAGGGTCAAACATCTCAACTAAAGTAGTTGTATCCTCAGCACGTTCTATGGTTACTATGAGAGCTATAATTGAGAAAGCAGGGGAAAGCTAGGTCTCCCGCCATTTGGGTGCTTGTCCTAAAGAGACGTTGTATGTGGTTACCTGCCAATCAAGAAATGCGAGACAATTCATAAAGAGGAACTGCTATGATTAGCTTCTTATTGGTGTCTCCTCTTCTTCCAGGTAACCCCAGACACCTACATGTTCTGATTGGGACCTCAGTGGTCAAAATCCCTTTCACCATCCTCCTCTTCTTTCTCCTTCATCGCTGGTGCTCCGACAAAAAAAGTAAGTCTCACGAAGCAGAGGCCAGAGAGCTCAGGGCCATGTGGGGAAGCAGGATGGGAGCACGCGGATGTGTGTTCCTCACCAGCAGGATGGTCCCTGGCCCAAGACAGGAGCCACAGAGGCAGGACTTTCTAGAGAGAGCACCAGATTCCCTTCCCCTGCCTTCAGCTCACAGACCATTGCCTGATTCTGAACTGTATCCTCACGTCCCCTGCAGCCACTCACATCCAGGAGAAGGTTCCATGACAGGCAGAAAGTGGGAGATAGAATCAATGGGATGGGACCTCAGAGCTATTCATGGGATGGGTCCTTGAACTCAGAGAGATAGAATGTCTGAGTCTGCTGTTGGCAACTGAGGGACCTCAGGCACCTATGGCCTCCCCCTGTTTGTTGGTATCTGCTTATGAAATGAGGACCCAGAAGTGCCCTCCGAGCTCTTTTGTTGACTTCCGTCTTCTACAGATGCTGCTGTAATGGACCAAGAGCCTGCAGGGAACAGAACAGTGAACAGCGAGGTAGGTGCTCCTCGGCCCAGCCTCGTGGCTAGTCTTATTCCCAAAGAGTCCTGAAAAATGTGAGCACCCTCCCTCACTCAGCATTTCCCTCTCTCCAGGATTCTGATGAACAAGACCATCAGGAGGTGTCATACGCATAATTGGATCACTGTGTTTTCACACAGAGAAAAATCACTCGCCCTTCTGAGAGGCCCAAGACACCCCCAACAGATACCAGCATGTACATAGAACTTCCAAATGCTGAGCCCAGATCCAAAGTTGTCTTCTGTCCACGAGCACCACAGTCAGGCCTTGAGGGGATCTTCTAGGGAGACAACAGCCCTGTCTCAAAACCGGGTTGCCAGCTCCCATGTACCAGCAGCTGGAATCTGAAGGCATCAGTCTTCATCTTAGGGCATCGCTCTTCCTCACACCACGAATCTGAACATGCCTCTCTCTTGCTTACAAATGTCTAAGGTCCCCACTGCCTGCTGGAGAGAAAACACACTCCTTTGCTTAGCCCACAATTCTCCATTTCACTTGACCCCTGCCCACCTCTCCAACCTAACTGGCTTACTTCCTAGTCTACCTGAGGCTGCAATCACACTGAGGAACTCACAATTCCAAACATACAAGAGGCTGCCTCTTAACACAGCACTTAGACACGTGCTGTTCCACCTCCCTTCAGACTATCTTTCAGCCTTCTGCCAGCAGTAAAACTTATAAATTTTTTAAATAATTTCAATGTAGTTTTCCCGCCTTCAAATAAACATGTCTGCCCTCATGGTTTCGGTAACGAGACTCTTTTCTTGCCTAAGGCTTCCGGTGTTATCATTACCATGTCCACATAACCCCATCTGTTCTCCATTGGGTTCTCAGCCCTGGACTCTGAGCTTCTGGAAGCAGAATGGAGCCTGATTTGTCTCTGAGACTCCAATTTCCATCCAAAGATACAGCACATAGGAGGCTCCAAGGATCGTGAATCACATGAACAAGTGATATTCTTACTCTCTGCAGACCTGGAAAGCTGGCAGAGTCATTCCACGATGAAACATTTGTAGAGTCATAGGCCTTGTTAGCCTCATCTCCACGGGGACACATATCAACATATCATCTTTCATAATATAAATATACAGTCGGTCCTCCATATCTGTGGGGTTTACAGGTGTTTATTGAACCAACAATAAATCAAAAATGTTTTCAGAAAAAAATCCCCGAAGTTTCAAGAAGCAAAAAACTATGTTGAATCGACACAAATTGAGTGGCGTGTAGGCTGTGTCAGGAATTATAAGTAATCAAGAGATGATTTCATGTATACAGGAGGATGTGCATGGGTTCTATGCAATTACTATGCTATTTTTTTTTTTTGAGACAGTCTCACTCTCTCACCCAGGCTGGAGTGCAGTGGCATGATCTCAGCTCACTGCAACCTCCGCCTCCCAGGTTCAAGCGATTGTCTTCCCTCAGCCTCCCCAGTAGCCTCCCCTAGGATTACAGGCACGTGCCACCATGCACAGATAAATTTTTTTGTGTGTGTATTTTTAGTAGAGATGGGGTTTCAGAATGTTGGACCAGCTGGTCTTGAACTCCTGACCTCGTGATCTACCCAACTCAGCCTCCCAAAGTGCTGGGATTACAGGCGTGAGCCACGGTGCCCAGCTTCGCTATGCCATTTCATGCAAGGGGCTTGAGCATCTGCAGATTTTGGTATCTGAATGGGGATCCTGGAACCAATCACCCAGGAATAGTGAAGGACCACAGTATATAATTTTTATTTGTCAATCTTAAAAATAAAGCATAAAAAGTTTACAACAACAAGATAAAAAATAAGAAGTGTTTTTATAGTGTGAGGATAAGTTTAGATTTATTTTTTCCTACGTGTAACCCTATGGTCCTGTGTTATTTATTGAGAAAATATTCTATTCCACCTTAAACTACATGGCAGCCTTTGTCAACTATGAAGGGACTGTGTATCCACAGATGTATTTTAGACACAGTTTTCTGCCCAGTGGTTCTCTGTATCCCCTCTCATGAGGATGCTGCATTTCATATAAACTTATAGAACCCCTTAAAATTTGGTAACCTGAGTTCTCTGATTTGTTATTATAGGTTATTTAGTTTGCTTTTTTTTTTCTTTCTTGAGACAGACTCTTCCTCTGTCACCCAAGCTGGAGTTCAGTGGCTTGAGCTCAGCTCACTGCAGCCTCCGCCTCCCAGGTTCAAGCAATTCTCGTGCCTCAGGTTTAGTACTAGAAACTCATCAGGAAAATTAGAATGGCTTTTTGTCACAATTACTCTGATAATGTTAATAATACCTCTTAGATATTTTGCACATTACACATGAAGAAAAGTTTGAATCTCAGATAAAAACAAAAATACATCAAAAGTCTTTAATGTAAGCACAGAATTCAATCACCTCATGTGTGAGAGGTTGGATCTGAGACGTCTTTTGAGTCTGGTCATAGTGAAGGATGCAAGGTGGCAATTGTAGTCACAACAATTTCCAGGAAGCCATGTTCCGCTCTTGAGCGAGCACCCACTGGGCCTCATGCAAGGTAGAAAGAGCCTGCGTACGTCACCCTCCCATGATGTGGTCAACATGTAAACTGCATGGGCAGGGCGCCAAATAACATCCTGTGCGCTGCTGAGCTGAGCTGGGGCGCGGCCTCCTGTCTGCACCGGCAGCACCATGTCGCTCACTGTCGTCAGCATGGCGTGCGTTGGTGAGTCCTGGAAGGGAATAGAGGGAGGGAGAGTGGGGATGGAGATCTCGGCCTAGAGGTAAAGATATGGGCCTGGAGTGGAGATATGGGCCTGGAGTGGAGATATGGGCCTGGGTGTGGAGATATGGGCCTGGAGGTGTAAATATGGGCCTGGAGTGGAGATATGGGCCTGGAGGGGAGATATGGGCCTGGGTGTGGAGATATGGGCCTGGAGTGGAGATACGGGCCTGGAGTGGAGATATGGGCCTGGAGTGGAGATATGGGCCTGCAGGTGGAGATCTGGGCCTGGAGTGGAGATATGGGCCTGGAGTGGAGATATGGGTCTGATGTGGAGATATGGGCCTGGAGTGGAGATATGGGCCTGGAGTGGAGATATGGGCCTAGAGGGGAGATCTGGGCCTGGAGTGGAGATATGGGTCTGATGTGGAGATATGGGCCTGGAGTGGAGATATGGGTCTGATGTGGAGATATGGGCCTGGAGTGGAGATAGGGGCCTGGAGTGGAGATATGGGCCTGGAGTGGAGATCTGGGCCAGGAAGTGTTGATCTGGGCCTGGAGCCTGGGTCTCTCCACAGCTGAGAGCCCTGTTCTTGGCAGCAGGTAGCAGGGAGGCTAAGTTTACCTTCAGCCCAGCAAGGGCCTGGCTGCCAAGACACACAGTGCAGTGGGGGCAGCAGGGTGCCCTGGTTTGCCTGCAGTTGGATCGTCTATCATGATCTTTCTTTCCAGGGTTCTTCTTGCTGCAGGGGGCCTGGCCACTCATGGGTGAGTCCTTCCCCAAACCTTAGGGTGTCATCTCCCCACATAAGAGGATTTTTCTGAAACAGGAGGGAAGTCCTGTCGGGGAGTCTCTCATAAACTAGGAAGAGGGGACCCTTGGATACTCGGCCCACATTTCTGACCTCGCCCTCCCCGGCCTTTCTTTCCCTTTCCTGAGTCAAGCTCTGTGAAGACTGGGGTGAGACTGGGGTGCTCCAAGCTGGGGTGTGCAGGGAGGAAGTGGTGTCAGCAGCAGAGAAAGAGAGGGAAGCAGTGCTAGGAACAGCAGGTCCTCTGAGGACAAAGGTATAACTGACACCCTCCAGCGTTTCCGTGACGGTAGGGACTGCAGTGTGGCTGCGGTCTTTCTACCAGAAGAGGGGGGAAACCACAGCCATGGCCCTGACATTCCAAATCCTCTGAGGGGGCTCAGTTCATGAATTGGCTGATATTCCATTCACATAGGACATGCCCTCCATGCCGTGTCTACTTTGTGTTGTTTTATGTGAGTAATTTTGCAGTATTAAAATCTAGTAAGAGTCACTTATTCAGCACTTGCTCAAAGTTCTCAGCTGACACTTGTTGTAGGGAGACGCCATGTCTATGTGGGGTGGGTCCTTCCTGTAGCCCTGGGCACCCAGGTGTGGTAGGAGCCTTAGAAAGTGGAAATGGGAGAATCTTCTGAGCACAGGGAGGGAGGGGTGGCTCCACATCCTCCTCTCTAAGGCAGTGCCTCCTTCTCCCCCAGGTGGTCAGGACAAACCCTTCCTGTCTGCCCGGCCCAGCACTGTGGTGCCTCGAGGAGGACACGTGGCTCTTCAGTGTCACTATCGTCGTGGGTTTAACAATTTCATGCTGTACAAAGAAGACAGAAGCCACGTTCCCATCTTCCACGGCAGAATATTCCAGGAGAGCTTCATCATGGGCCCTGTGACCCCAGCACATGCAGGGACCTACAGATGTCGGGGTTCACGCCCACACTCCCTCACTGGGTGGTCGACACCCAGCAACCCCCTGGTGATCATGGTCACAGGTCAGAGGCTTTCTGTCTGGGCTTCTCACTGTCCCACCTCCTGAATCCCAGAGCTTCTGGTGGGGGTGTCCATCAGGGTCCCATCACCCAGGCCCCAACTGTATTTGGGGTCAAGGGGGATTGAATACAGGGGAAATGGGCGCTGTGGTGGGAAGAATCACTGTCGCCAATGATGGCTACATTGTAAACCCTGGAGCCTGTGACTATTTATGTTATAGGGCAGGGGACTGAAGGGGAAGGTGGAGCTCAGGTTGTTGATGAGTTGACCTTGAGATGGGGAGACAGCCTGGACTGTCCTGCTGGGCTCAGTGTAATCACAAGGGTCCGCGTGAGAGGTGGAGGAAGAGGGGAGTGGGGATTAGAGCAGTGTAGTGGGAGGGAGACGCTATCAGCCACTGTGGGCTTTGAAGGTGGAGGAAGGCCACTAGTCACAGAATGCAGGTGGCCTCTAAGGGCTGGAGAAGTCAAGAGAACTGATTCGCTGAGTCTCCAGAGGGAACGCAGCCCTGCAGATGCCTTGATTTCAGCACAGGGAGAACTGGATCCAATTTCTGTCCCCAGAAGTGGAAGGGGTCAGTGTGTTCTCTCCTGCTGCCATGTTTGTGATAATTTTCTGCAGCAGCAACAGGAAACCGACACAGGAACCCAGGTCAAGGACAAGCTAGGAAACCAAACAAGGATAGCCAGGTGTGGTGGTGGGCACGAGTAATCCAACGACTGGGGAGGCTGAGGCAAGAGAATCACTTGAACCGGGGAGGCAGAGGTTGCAGTGAGCCAAGACAACACCACTGCACTCCAGCCTGGGTGAAAAAGTGACTGTCTCAAAAATAAATTAATTAATCAATTAATTAAAGAAACCAAACAAGGAGAAGGTTGGCTACCGTGGGATCAGCAAGGGTGGGATGCTGATGCCACCACCAGGCTCCATCCACATAGGAAGGGGTTGATGCTCCTGGAACCAGCACCAGGGACCACCCTATGGAAGCTGGGGCCATGGAGAAGGCACAGACATGGCAGGAGAGGCTCCCAATCCCCATCAGGAACAGGGTGTGTGGACACTGATGTCTGCCTTACTGATGAGTTGATACCTCTGCCAGAGACTCCAATTTGTTCAAAAGAGATTGATTCAGGCTGCTGAGAGCCTGGACATGCAGCCTGTCCTCTTCCACCCCCACATAGACAGCAGGAAAGAGACTAGTGGGAAAGAGATACAACAGCCCAAGAGATGAGGCTCTCTTCACAGTGGGAAGGGAGTCAGGGGCTACTGGAGACAGAGGGACAGAGAAGAGGGAGGAAGACAAATGGAGGGACCTGCACCAGGGGATATGGGCACAGAAAAGACACGGAGACACAGAGAGGGAGGAGAGAGACAGACCTCTGGGAGGGGAACCCTCACTCATTCCAGGTGCCATGGATGGGATGATAAAGAGAGATGCCTTCTAAACTCACAACTTCTCTTTCTAGGAAACCACAGAAAACCTTCCCTCCTGGCCCACCCAGGGCCCCTGCTGAAATCAGGAGAGACAGTCATCCTGCAATGTTGGTCAGATGTCATGTTTGAGCACTTCTTTCTGCACAGAGAGGGGATCTCTGAGGACCCCTCACGCCTCGTTGGACAGATCCATGATGGGGTCTCCAAGGCCAACTTCTCCATCGGTCCCTTGATGCCTGTCCTTGCAGGAACCTACAGATGTTATGGTTCTGTTCCTCACTCCCCCTATCAGTTGTCAGCTCCCAGTGACCCCCTGGACATCGTGATCACAGGTGAGAGTGTCCAGACATTCTTCTCATTGTCATTGGGACACAGAGTGAATGATCCAGGACTTGGAACCCCCAGGTGGTCATGAGGAAGATAAGCGTGGGATTCTTATGGAGAGAGACTGACTCGGTGAGGTCTGTACCAACAGAGACAGGGAAACAGGAGACATAAGTACAGACCAGGTGTCATAACAGAGGACAGACACAGGGGCCATACGGGGAAGTAGAAAAGAGAGAAAGAGGTAAAGGAGACACTCAGACAGACAGACATGTGCCAGAGAGAAGTGTCCTTCCATGCTGACTTTGCTCAGAGACCTGGCACAGGTTAGAAGTTTCATTTCTGTTTTGTCTCCACAAAGTGCTTCTACGAGGAGAACCCAAGGACACCCATATTTCTGACCTGAGTTGGGCCCTGTGGCCTCAGGCCTTGTGGCATCTACAGATGCCATGTTTATTCTGACACCTCTGCCTTCCATGCAGTGGAGCCATAATTATCCCAGGATATCATGGCCCCAGAACACCAACCCCTAAATACTGTGTGTACTTGGTGTCCCCAGACTAGATTCTGAGGCTCATATTCCAAATAATCCTACATATAATAGGATCACTGAGAGACACAGAGATAAATCAGGGACTTCAAAAAGCAAAGGCATAAACACACAGAGAATGAGCCAGAGGAAGGGGATTGAGAGACTCACAGACACACAAAAAGAAAGAAAAGAGGGCAGAGGAGTGGAGAGAATGCTGGAAGGGAGGAGAGAAAAGCCCCAAAATCAGAACCCTGAGGGAGGGGCACAAAGACAGAGAAAGATAAAGATGTGGGGATGGATTGCAGAGATTCCAAATAGAACTAGAGAGACTGAGAGGCAGAGAAAGACAAGGAGATGGAGAGAGACAGATGATAGATGGATAGATAGATATAGATAGATGATAAATAGGTAGATGATAGATAATGGATAGGTTATAGATACATAGATGATGATTGATAGATGATACATAGAGATGATGATGATGATGATGATGAAGATAGATAGATAGAAGACACATATATAAATATATAGATACATAGATGATACATAGAGACTGACAGGCAGACAGAGAGGTAATAGAGAGAGAGAGAGATGATACATAGATACAGATAATACATAGATGATTGATGGATAGACAGATAGACAATTGATAGATAAATGATACATAGATATAGATGACAGATAATTTGTAGATAGACACAAAATAGATAGATAGATAATAGATAGAAATATGCAGAAAGTTATGAACAAGACAGAAAGTGAGAGACTCAGAATTATAGAAAAAGGAAGATCAAGTCAACCAATCCAAGGAGAGTCAGAGAGAATAAAACAATCCAAAAAGGGAAAGCATACCCAGGGGTGGGGAAGTGAGGTCAGAGACCTAGAGAGACAGAGAAGGCGGAAGGAGGAAATAGACATGAAGAGAGTTGGGGTGGAGGGTGAGAGAGAGAGAGAGCATTAGGTCATAGAGCAGGGGAGTGAGTTCTCAGCTCAGGTATGAGGGGAGCTGTGACAAGGAAGAACCTCCCTGAGGAAACTGCCTCTTCTCCTTCCAGGTCTATATGAGAAACCTTCTCTCTCAGCCCAGCCGGGCCCCACGGTTCAGGCAGGAGAGAACGTGACCTTGTCCTGTAGCTCCTGGAGCTCCTATGACATCTACCATCTGTCCAGGGAAGGGGAGGCCCATGAACGTAGGCTCCGTGCAGTGCCCAAGGTCAACAGAACATTCCAGGCAGACTTTCCTCTGGGCCCTGCCACCCACGGAGGGACCTACAGATGCTTCGGCTCTTTCCGTGCCCTGCCCTGCGTGTGGTCAAACTCAAGTGACCCACTGCTTGTTTCTGTCACAGGTGAGGAAAACCCGTGTCTGTCCCATGTCTTATGATCCTAGAGCCATAGCTGAGGAGCTTCCTGCCGATGATGGGGAGAAGCATGGACAGATGCAGAGAGAACACGAAGACTGGGTGTGAGGGGGGGGTCAGGGTGCAGGATGGCAGACAGGGCACCTCCAAACCCTCTTGCATGGCCTGCATGGAGGCCCATGGTCAGGGCTCCAGGCACCCAGGCAGATGGAGAAAGCGGTCAGGACAGACCCAGAGAAGGGGAGACTGGGCTCAGTTTGGGGAGATCAGAGGTTCCCTCAGCCCCTCAACCTTACCCATTTCCCAGAAGCCCATCCTGGCCTCTCACCCACACAGAGAGATGTCATCACCAGCAACCCCTACACTCTTTTCTTTTCATTTTCAAAAATATTTATTGAGGTTAAATGTAACTATATAATTTACCAACTTTACCATTTTTAAAAGTAAAATCTAGTGGTCATAAATACCTTTATATGCTGGGTGTGGTGGTTCACGGTTGTAATCTTGGCGCTTTGAGAGGCCAAGAAAGGTGGATCATTTAAGATCAGGGACTCGAGATCAGCCTGGCCAACATGCGGGAAATTCATCTTTACTAAACAGACAAGAAAAATTAGCCAAGCATGCCGGCATGCACCTGTAGTCCTAGCTACTTGGGAGGCTGAGGCAGGAGAAGCACTTAAAGCCAGGAGGCAGAGGTTGCACTGAGCCGAGATCATGCCACTGCACTGCAGCCTGGGAGACAGAGAGAGACTCTGTTTCTAAATAAATAAATACATCTATATTCTTTTTTTTGTTACCCTCCACCCTTCCCTTCCTGGCCTCTGGTATCCACCATTCTATTCTCTACCTTCATGAGATCCACCTTTTATCTCCTGCATGTGGTGAGAAATGGGAATCTTTGTAATGACCTCCAGTTCCATCCATGTGGCTGCAAATGACAGGATGTTATTGTTTCTATGGATGAGTAGTCTCCACCGTGTGTGTGTACTACAGTTCTCTATCCATTCACCCACTGATAGGCAGGTAGGTTGACTCCACATCTTGGCTACTGTGAACAGTGCTGGAACAGTCATATGAGTGCAGATATCACTTCGATACACTGATGTCCTTTCCTTTGGATATAAACCCAGTAGTGAAATTGCTGGACACTATGAAAGTTCTCTTTTTTTTTTTTCTTTTTTGAGAAAGAGTTTCCCTCCTTAGTCCAAGCTGGAGTCAAAGTGGTGCGATCTTGGCTCATTGCAACCTCTGCTTCCTAGGTTCAAACGATTCTCCTGACTCAGCCTCCCTAATAGCTGTGATTACAGGTGCACGCCACCATGCCTGACTAATTCTTGTATTTTTTAGCACAGACGGGATATCCCAATTTTGGGCAGGCTGCTCTCAAACTCCTGACCTCAAGTGAGGTGCCTGCCTCGGTTTCCCAAAGTGCTGAAGTTACAGGCATAAGCCACTATGCCCAGCCTCCTTTTAGTTTTTTAAAGTTTTTCCATACTTTTCTCCATAATAGTTGTACTAATTTACATTCCTACCAACAGGGTACCAGGGTTCTCCTTTCTCTACCATCTTGCCAGCATTTGTTTTGCCTGTCTTGCAGATAAAAGCCATTTTACTTTATTTATTTATTTATTTATTTATGTTGAGATGGAGTTTCACTCATAGTCGCCCAGGCTGGAGTGCAAGGGTGTGATCTCGGCTCACTGCAACCTCTGCCTCCCGCGTTCAACTGATTCTCCTGCCTCAGCCTCCAAAGTAGCTGGGATTACAGGCATGTGCCACCACGCCTAGCTAATTTTTGTATGTTTAGTAGAGAGGGAGTTTCTCCATGTTGGTCAGGCTGGTCTCCCGACCTCAGGTGATCCGCCCACCTCCGCCTCCCAAAGTGCTGGAATTACAGGCGTGAGCCACCGGCCTAAAAGGCATTTTAATGGGATGAGATGAAAACTCATCGCGATTGTAATTTACATTTCTGTGATGATGAGTGATGCTGAGCACTTTTTCATATACGTGATCGCCATTTCTATGTTTTGTTTGTGGAGAAATGTCTCCTCATGTCTTTTGCTCGTTTTTTAATTAAATTGTTTTATTGAGTTGTTTGAGCTTCTTATATTTCCAGTTATTAATCCCATCTCAGATGAATAGTTTGCAAATATTTGCTCCTATTTTGTGGGTTGTCTCTTCACTTTGTTGGTTTATCTTTGGTGGTGCAGAAGTTGCTTGGTTTGATGTAATCCTAATGGTCTATTTTTTGCTTTGATTACTTGTGTTTTGAAGGTTTTAAACAAAATGTCTTTCGTCAGACAAATGTCTTCCCCATTATTTTCTTCTACATGTTTCATAGGTTCAGGCCTTAGACTCATGTTTTTAATCCATTTTCATTTGATTTTTGTGTAAGGTGACAGGTATAGATGCAGTTTTATTCCTCTGCATGTAGATATCCAGTTTTCCCCACACCATTTATTGAAGACTGTCCTTTCTTGATTGTAAGTTCTCGGCACCTTTGTCAAAGTCCATTAAATGGGCTGGGCATGGTGGCTCACACCTGCAATTCCAGCACTTTGGGAGGCCGAGGCGGGTGGATCACCTAAAGCCAGGAGTTCAAGACCAGGCTGGCCAACAGAGTGAAACCTCGTCTCTACTAAAAATACAAAAATTAGCTGAGCATGGTGATCAGTGCCTGTAATACCACTACTCAGGAGTTTGAAGCAAGAGAATTTCTTGAATCCAGGAAGTGGAGGTTGCATTGAGCTGAGATTGCACCTCTACACTCCAGCCTGCATGACAGAGCAAGATTCCATCACACACACACAAAAGAAAGCCATTGGATGTAAATGCATGGATTATATCTGTGTTCTCCATTCTGTTCCATTTTTTATGTGCCTTTCTTTATGCCAATGTCATGCTGTTTTGCTTACTACAGCTCTGTAACATATTTCTAAGTCAGGTAGTGTGATGCTCCTGTTTTCTCTTTATACCTTCAAGTCTCAAGACAGTGGGCATCGCACACAAAAATTATGGAGAAAAGGATCCCAAGACTCCCAGGGTCCAACATTAGATAACAGAGTGTTGGCCATGAACCAACCTCAAAGATTTCCATTGAGTAGAGGACAAGCACCCTCATTTCCTCACATCTCTCCTGTCCCGTGTTCTAGGAAACCCTTCAAGTAG